>NC_000003.12:127796483-127947998 GCF_000001405.40 Homo sapiens
GCCAAAATCAGTCTGGCTTCAAAACCTCTTGGTTAAGTATCCAGTAGATGAGAAACCTCCCTGCTGCGTGATTAGTGGTAGGGCAGAATTTCATTTGAGACCAGTCCATCTTGACTCCTGGGTCAGCAGGACATAAGAACACTATCATACAACCCTCAAAACAGTGATGTACTGCAGCCAACGGTGCCCTATGGTGAGTGTCACGCAATGTTTAGAATCGTGCACTCTTCTGAGCACTGAACCTCAGCAAAGCTCTCCCAGCGTAAGGATAATTAAATTCTAAAGTAGGCCTACCCTGAAGTTATTCAACTAGAAAATTACAAGCCACAGCAAAGATGTATTTCCATATAAATGTGCGAAAGCAAATCCAGCATCCACCAGCCTGAAACAGACGGGGACGGAGAGCCTGGTGCATTTACCACCTAATTTATCATGCTGCTAACATCTCTCTTTGGGCACTTATCACATTCCCCCGGGGCGACTGCCTGCCTTACCCAGCCTGCTAAGCTGAGAGGTTCTGGAAGGCGGATGCCTTACCCACTCTGCAGAGCTCCGTGGGAGGCCTGCAATCCACTGGTGTGCTTGAGGACAGGGTGGCAGAGGAGAAGCCTGTGATGCTGTGCAGTCCCCAGGCACGAGAGGCCATGCTGTGCCACATACATGACTGTCACTGTTGGCTGTGTGACCGCATCAAAATCGTCTCTCCAGTTGTCTTTCACCATCCCTCTGCAGAGGGTGTATCCCAGGACTGCTTTCCACTCAGCTTCTGGGACATTCTGTGTGGCTGTCCCTGAGAACACCTGGGCAAAGCTGAGAATCCTCCTGGCTTTTTGCAGGCAAAAAAAAAATGTTCCTGAGGCGAATAAGAGAACCATGTCTCCTAAGTAATATTCCCCTCGACCTGTCAAGACTCAGTCTAGTCTTGCTCCGCATGCAGCCTATTTTCTGAGCTGGAAGGCTCCTGAAAATAGAAACTCAGGGTGAAAAGATGGAGGTTGAACACAATCCTTTTATTATGGCTGTCTATGATTCCTTATTTATATGCCTAAGACATATAATGCCTAAGACATCCGGAATGTCACTAGACTCCTCAAATATTCCAGATTAGAAAAACAAACAACATAAAAATCAACTTTTTTTTTGAGACTTGGTCTTCTTCTGTCACCCAGGCTGGAGTGCAGTGGTGTAATCATGGCTCACTGCAGCCTCAAACTCCCGGGCTCAAGCGGTCCTCCCACCTCAGCCTCCTGAGTAGCTGGGACTATAGGCGCGAGCCACCACTGCCCAGCTGATTTTTATTTTTTGTAGAGACAGGGTTTCACCATGTTGCCCAGATTGGTCTTGAACTCCTGAGTCAAGTGATTCTCCCACCTGGGCTTCCCAAAGTGCTGGGATTACAGGCATGTGGGCCCACCATACCTGGCCCACCGTACCTGGCCCAAAATTCTTTATATAGCATATATTTCTCCAGTGTATCTCTAACCTTCATCTCCAACTTTGCCCAGGTTGATGTCATCCAGAGCAGCAAGGGGTGTGTGACATTTCATTGTGAAACAGATATATGTATTAAAAAGTACAAACAACTGATCTGCACAGGTCAAATAATCATAACAGGTGGAAACCCGATGTACCTACTAACAGTCAAAGACACAGAGCACATGACCAGCACCTTGCAAGCACAGTGCATACCTTTCTCCCTGCAGGAGCAACCCACTGTCCAGAGTTTTGTGATAATCACTCTTTTGCTTTTCTTCGTATCTATGTATGCAGGAAAGCAGGAGCCTGTTCAGGTTCTCTATGCGTCAGACTCTAGCCCATGAAGTGAATTCTTTGGGTGCCATAAAACAGGCAGCACGTCTCTCTGAGCTCCCACCTTCAGCTTCAGCCTCTGCTTTGCTCTGAGTCACAGTCCTGGGGCTCCGAAGTACCCTGCTGGGACCCCAGGGCCCTGTTCTTGCCTCTGTGGCCCCTGCCTGTCCTCTTGTGGAGCTGCCACTGGACTCTGGGTTCCAGGACTTCCTCCTTGGACAGGCCCTTTGCTGAGTCTTCACTTCTCTTGGATTTGTTCTTTCCATTCCCTCTGCTGTCACTCCCAGACCTTATTACCCCAACAGCCTGAACAATCCCAACAGCCTCCTAACTCCACACCCTGCCCCCAGTTTCCCCCACTCAAATCTGTGCTCACACAAATGCCATATTCCTGTTGTGTCAACAGCCAAAATCACTGATGTCTCTGCACTTACATCATCTCCCCGCACCTTTGTGTGGCCTCTCCTCCACTCAGGATGCCCTTCCCATCCTCCTCACCTGCAGGAAGGTTCCTATCAGTAGGAGGCTGGGCTCCACAGCCTTTCCAGGTACCCCAGTCACTGGGGCCCTGGTCAGGGTGTCCACAATGAAGTGAGGTCACAGGTGGTGCAGCCAAGCTGGAGAGCACCCGAGGGAAGCTGAGGGCAGAGCAGGGGAGCAGTCTCAGGAGCATTGCCTTTCAAGCCTGCAGCTGGATTCCCACGATGAAGGGAGAACTTGGAGCCAAACACCAAAGGCCTAGATAGGGCCCTGCCCAGTGTCCCTGAGTCCATGGACTCATTGTTCTCTCGAGGACACATTCTTAGGACATCATAGAACATGTAATGCAAATTGCCAGGGACCAAGTGCTCCTAAGAAGCCAGGGAGGACACTCACGGCTGTGGAGCATCTACGTGCCCCAGAAACTCACCCATTATCTCAGCAGGTCCTCCTCCTGGCCCTTTGACATAAGTAGCCTGAGCATCAGTTTTCCAGATGAGGAAACTGAGGCTTCCAGGGGTGAGTGAAGCTATTCGTTAGGATCAGAAGAGCCGGGCCTCGAATGTGGACTCTCCCAACTTCGAATCTGCACTTTGCCCTTTCTACCACCCTCAAGACCAGCTCCAAATCCTGCCCTCACCACTCACCAGTCATGGGATTTCTGATGCTTCCAGAACTCCTCTGAAACTACCCTGCCTCCCTCAGAGTGGGTGAGAAGGTGAAAGAGATTACGCACACGAACAGCATTTTGCCAGCTGTATCCTACTACAAGTGGGCTACCTCAAGTCCTTTCTCAGCACAAGATGTGTGTAAATACACCAGGTTGAATGAGTGAATGAAATCCACCAGTCAACTCTCTTTCCTCTTTCCTGATTCCTGGCTGATGTCTCATCTCCCGGCTGTGCCTCAGGAAGAGACAGTGAATCAGGCATCTTGGCAGCCCCCAAGCAGCTCACTACAGTAGTACCGGCAAAGGAAGGGCTTCATATTTATGAAATGAATAGATGACCCCATGTCTGCATATGATCATGAATGCATTTAACACTGTCCTGTGGTAGCCCAGTCTTAATATTCACAAAAGAGAAGATGGTCTTTATGGTAGACTGCAAACTGATTGCCCCAAACTGCATTCTCTCTTCTGTAGTTACAGAGTTTTATAGAATTTTAACTGTTCATATGGCTGCCCAGATAGAGACCATATTTCCCAGACTTCCCTGCAGCTAGGTGTGGCCGTATGACTAAGTTATGCCAATAGAATATGAATAGAAGTGACGTATGCAATTTCTACAACACCTACTTGAAATAATCTGCTTGCCTTAGACTTGCTCTTTCTCCTCCCCATGGTCAGGAACACAGAGAAGGCAATGACCAGCTTTGGTGATTGAACCACACTCTAAGTGGTGGTGGGGCAACAAGATGGAAGGAACCTAGGTCCCTGAATGGCCATGTGGAGCCCAGTGACCCTACCAACTTGGACTGCTCACCTCTGGACTGCTAAGTGAGAGCAAAATAAACCTCTCTCTTATTTCAGCCACTAAATTTTGAGGTCTCTGTGCTCAGCCTGCACCTTAACAAATGCAGACTATCATTAATAAGACCCCTTACATGGGGAATAGCCAGTTGACTTGAGTTCAGATCTAGGCTCTGTGACTTCCTACTTCTGTGAGTTTGGGCAAGTTGCTGAACTACTGTTTCTTCATCTGTGAAATGAGGAGAACCATAGGACCTGTAGTGAGAATTAAACAACATAGAATATACACAATAAAGTTGGCTACTGTTATGGCTACTGTTATAATCATCTTATCAAAATGTTTTCCTGCCTGTGGAGCCCCAGCCAGGCTACCCGTGCATTAGTCAGCCTATACCAGAGGAAACAGCTTTTATGTTGGTCCCCTGTGTGGTTAGTTATGTGTCTTCCTGCCACAACTGATCTTATGTCCTCACATTCATTTTCATGCAAAAGCCCTAGCAAGCCAAGTGTGGTAGTAAGAACTACCCACTGGTTGGCCTGGGAACTTACTGGTAACAGTCAGAGCATGTGCTTCACCCCCTGAGGTGTCTAAGCATTGTAGCCAACAAGAAATCCCTTCAACTGCCTTTCCCTCCTCTAAACTCAGCTCAGAGTCCCGTAGAGCTCACCGGGTACCAGGCCAGCTTCAGAAGAAGCTGCTGATAAATTTAGAAGTCAGAGAGAGTACGTATAGTCAGAGAGAGAAGAGCAATGCTACTAATTAAAAAGGGGTAATGAGCCAGGTGCGGTGGCTCACGCCTGTAATCCCAGCACTTTGGGAGGCCAAGGCAGGTGGATTGCCTAAGGTCAGGAGTTCTAGACCAGCCTGACTAACATGGTGAAACCCCATCTCTAGTAAAAATACAAAAACTAGCCAGGCCTGATGGCAAGCGCCTGTAATCCCAGATACTCAGGAGGCTGAGGCAGGAGAATCGCTTGAACCCAGGAAGTGGAGGTTGCAGTGAGCCGAGATAGCGCCATTGCACTCCAGCCTGGGCAACAAGAGTGAAACTCCATCTCAAAAAAAAAAAAAAAAAAGGAGTGGGGGTAACGGCCAGGCGCGGCGGCTCACGCCTGTAATCTCAGCACTTTGTGAGGCTGAGGCTGGTGGATCACCTGAGATCAGGATTTCAAGACCAGCCTGACCAACATGGTGAAACCCCATCCCTACTAAAAATACAAAATTAGCCAGGCCTGGTGGTGCATGCCTGTAATCTCAGCTACTTGGGAGGCTGAGGCAGGAGAATCACTTGAACCCGGGAGGCGGAGGTTGCAGTGAGCCGAGATCGCACCATTGCACTCCAGCCTGGGCAACAAGAACAAAACTCCGTCTCAAAAATAAAATACAATAAAACAAAATTAAAAGGGGTGACATTTCCAAGAAAAGTTCAGATGCATGCAAGGTTCTGGAGTAGTCCCTAAAGTATTTATTTCCTTTAAAAAAGAAAGAAAAAATATATATGTATATGTTATGTATTTTAAAATATGTATTTATAATAATATAATAAATATATCATATATTTTATAATATAAAATATTTATATATATAATTTTTTTTCTAGAAAGGATGAAGCCCTATGAAAGTAGCTGGAAGGCTGCTGTGGCCACAGCTGTAACCCAACAGGAAGAACCCATGCTTGTCACCAGACAGAGGCCCACACAGCTCACAGCCCTCTATTTCTTATTTAACAGAGATTCCTTGAGAGCTCTGTCTGGCCAGGCACTGGGTTAGGCTCTGGGGACACATCTCAGACCAAGTCCCTACCCTTATGGAACTTCCAGTCTAGTGTGGACCCAGAATAATTAGCAGATGAGCATATGCCAGGCCGGGTTGGGCACCCTGAGCCAAGCATGTCAGGGTCAGGAGACAGGGGACATCCGCTCCATACCACACAGCACAGGCCTGCTTCCTATAGGACTGGAGATGCTAGAGTTGCGGAGTGTAAGAGATACTAGGTTCAAGAGTTTGGTCTTGAACTTCACTTACTTAGGTGCATACCTGTTTGCTGCTCATAAAATGCAAACAGGACCAAAGTGTGGAGGCCCACCGAGGCGGTCAGCAGCCTGACAGCCCTGGTGCCCAGGTGCAATAACAAGCAAAACCGACATCCTGCATTCCCTAATTAAGCCTGATTAGCCTCTCCCACACTTTCCCATCCTCCTGTAATCTCCTACAGGTGCAGAAAATATGTCAGTGCCAGTGGGGTGAGATGGATAATCACCCCCCTTGTACTAGGCTGGAAACTTAGATGGCTATTATTACTCCTCCAACACAAGATATCTACTGCCTCAAAATTATTTCATATGCTTTGGGGATGCAAGCTCCAGGAGTGATTTATTTTTAATCGAAAAGCAGTTCTGCATTATAGGAGGCCAAGAGATTAAGAACCTTTATTAACATGTGCGATCTCTTCAGATGCCTCTTCTAGGCCAGCCGGGGCCCTGGCCGGTTTTGAAAAGGTTCTTATGCCAAAGGGCTCCTCTGAGGCGACATTTAGATCAATATTTGGAACTGCCCTTCTGGGAAATCACTGATGGTCTGTGGAAGGCACATGGTGTGACTTTTAGAGCAGTCCATTAATGAAGAGCTCCACAGCTGTCCCAAGATTCTGGAAAAGGACCAGATGCTGGTATGACTGACCTCGCTTCTGTGCAAGAGCTTGGAGCACTGTCTTTCAAGCCTGAGTCTCTCTCTCTCTCTCTCTTTTTTTTTTTTAGACAGAGTCTTGCTCTGTCACCCAGGCTGGGGTGCAGTGGCACAATTTTGGCTCACTGCAACCTCCGCCTCCTGGGTTCAAGTGATTCTCCTGCCTCAGCCTCCTGAGTAGCTGGGATTACAGGTGCGTCCCCTCACACCCAGTTTATTTTTGTATTTTTAGTAGAGATGGGGTTTTGCCATGTTGGCCAGGCTGGTCTCGAACTCCTGGCCTCAAATGATCCACCTGCCTCAGCCTGCCAAAGTGCTGAGATTACAGGCGTGAGCCACCACACCTGGCACAAGCCTGAGTCTCTTTATTGCTGCACGGGGAGGGCCTTTGTTTGCTCTTGTTCTGGCAGTGGGCACCCACCTCCAGGCCGCCTGAAGGAACAAGCAGTGGGGTGGGGGTGAAGATATTCTGGCCCCACCTGCTTCTTCTAATTCTCCTTGGTGCCAACCAGCCTCACAGCAAACCATGGCCGATGCTGGTGCACTCACACCATATGGGATGCTTTTACTGTACAGGCATGTTCCATAGGAGGGGAACAGTACACTCATTTATGGGATGACTTTGAATGAAGATGTGCATATATGTCAGGGCAAAAAACAAAAAAGAAGAGAGCTAGACTCTAAATCACACAGAGGGTTGTTAAAAACCCTGCACATTTACTAGCTGGTGTGATGAGCCCTGAGTGTGCAGAGCATGAGTCTCTCAGCCTGTAGGACTCCCACAGCTGGTTGTGCCTGGGATGAGTTAGGGAAGTTTGATGTCACAGCATGAAATGCCATCACCGTGTACCAGGAAAACATTACTCATTCCCTCGTTCATCCCATTCCAATCCTCTGAGTACTTAAGAGAGAGACTCACTCAGGTGCTGACCCATTTTAAGCACCTCTCAGGCACTAGCTCACCACCACTTTCAGGACGGGGTGGCTCAGGGCTCTTGAGTGTACCCCAGTGCAGAGCTGCAATACACTGTCGCCTTGTTTTCTCCTTGTGGTCACCTATTTACAGCCCCTGACACTGGTTTCTACTTCTTGTGTTACAATAAAATTTCCTCTTAAAATAGATTTAAAGTAAAAAAGAAAGTTGATTTTAAAAAAACTATGAAGAAATAATATGAAATTTAAATAGCCGCTATGAAAATCACAAAGGTGGCGTGTAAACAATCAAGGTTTGGGAAAAGCTGATCTGGAGCCATTTAGCAGGAATTACCACCCGGAATGCAAGATGGCTAGTTAGGAGGTAACATCAATGGGAGGAGGATGGGGCCGCAGAGCCAGAAAGCAGTGTCGCCCAGGAGGCCGGCAGTGAGCAGAGGGTTGCAGGGCCACGGGGCGGACCAGACCCGGCTCAAATGTCACGTCTGCTTAAAGCCATCCTGGCCACATGGCAGAGACCACTGATCGCTTCTGCTCACTTGTCCCCCATCCCACAGTGACTCCCTGAGTAGGACTCCCCACTCCTGCCATGGCCACCTACAGGGGAATGAGTGAGCCTAAGTCCCCTGGGCCTCAGTTTCCCCATGGTAGAGCCCACAGGTCAAACTATAATAGATCATCTTTAGGGTGCTTTCCAACTCCTCAGAGTCTGTGCACATCAACGTTAATTGTCCTGGAGTGGTCAGTAGTCACATCTTTCTACTTCAGTTTCTTAAGGTTCTATAATGAACATGTTTCCCCAAAACACAGAGCCAGTTTTATTGACAATAACCAAATAAAATAACCTAAGATGAGCAAGTAGAAGAAGAGCCTGTTCTATGAAGAAGAAATGGTAATAGTTGGGCCAGGCCTGCCACCCCAGAGAGGCACTAGGAGGAAGTGGGCCAGGGTCCACTGGGGGTCTGCAGGCACCTCGACCCCTGGAGAGGTCTCCCACCCACACCTGAAGGACAAAGGACAAGGCCACCAGCACAGGCTCTGCTGGGAACAATGCAGTGGGAGAAGCCTTTCCTCACAGAGTCCATGGGGGTCTTGGAGAGACGGCCATTCTATGGGAACACAGGGACAGTATGGAGCTCTTTTTAAAGGCTCTGCAAGAGAGAATGTTTAAAAACGGCAGCTGCCGTGTGATTGTGGACCTGGATAAAATAGGAAGCAAGAGGCAGAGATAACAGGGAGCTGTTTTAGTCAGAGAAGTGGTTTCCTGATCTTCTATAAGAATGTGCTGGGCTCCATCTTATGTAACATTCATTTTCTTTCCTGGAAGGAGAACAGCTTGAACTTTCCAAGGCTGCAGATGGCTCCAAGTTCCTCTGGGTGGTGAAATGCCAAACGGATGGCGATAAATGATCAGGAATTTATTGAGAATGCGGGAGAGGTGAGACGAGCATTGAGTGATGAATTTAAGGAAAATGGTCACAATTTCATAGGCACAATGAGGCCTCTGCACTCCATTATGACCTGAAGGGGCATCTGCAGCCAGGCCAGCATCATCAGTGGGAGCGGGAGCTGAACACCTATGGAGGGTGAATGGGGCATGGACCACAGGCTCATACCGCAGACCTGGCATTCCTAACTGTGGGACCTCATCAGAGCCACTGAGCCTTTGTGGGCCTCAGTCTTCTCACCTGTAAAATGGGCTTATCATGCCCACCCCCCACTAGGGTTGTTGTGAGGGTTACGTAGCATCTGTACACACAGCTGAGTTACAGGCATGGTTCTGCAATATTTTACGAGGCATAGCTAGGTGCTGGAATTTCAATGGTGCTTTTAAAGCAAACAGACTTGGGTTCAAATCCTGGCCCTGCCACTTAATAGCATGTAGCTGACACTGTCTATGGCAATAAAATAGCAAGAATGAGGCCAGGCATCTCATGGGTGCTGTGAGAGTCAGGGAGGTAAAGCCAGAGAAGTATCTAGCAACGTGTCAGACAAAGGTTTGGGCCTTCCAAAGAGATTCGTTTCCTGCCCCTTTCCAAAGGTGATACAAGCATAAATAAAAAGTGGTTACAAAAGAATTTTAAGAAACTCATGTATTCAAGGAATACATGCCTCCCTGCAGCCCTCTGAGGTTAAGCCATGGAGATCAGCAGGCTGTCTCCCCAATTCTTGGCTGGGGCCTCAGTGGAGATAGAGCCTGACAATGCCCATCTTTGTTCTGGTGCATAGAATTCTAAATGCACTGAATGGCCAGGTGGGGCATGAGCATGGGACTGTGAGGGTCCTCTCCTCTGGGAAGCCCTCTAGCTTCTCCAGGCAAATCACCCGGTCTAGACTCCAGACCCTGGCACATGCACTAGTGGCTTGCCTGCCTGCCGTTCTCCTTGGGCTGTGAGCCCTTGGAAGGCAGGGACCATGGGGTCTTAATGATTTCTCTGTCACCCAAGATCCAGCACAAGGCCTGCCATAGAGTTTGTGCTCAGTAAATATTTACTGAATGACACTGACGGATGTATGGATAAGTAAATGTGTGGATGGGTGGATGAATGAATAAATGGATGGATGGGTGGATTGGTGAATGGATGGGTGGAAGGGTGGATGAATGGGTGGCTGGGTGGATGTATGGGGTGGGTGGATGGATGAACGAATGAATGGATGGATGGATGGATGGATGGACGGATGGACTGAAGGATAAATGAATGTATGGATAGGTAGATGGTAGGTGGATGGATGAGTGGGTGTGTGAGTAGATGTATGGGTGGGTGGATAGATGGAAGGATGAATGGATGTATGGATGGGTAGATGGGTAAATGGATGAATGGGTGAGTTGGTGGATGGATGGGTGAATGAATGAATGGATGGCTGGATAAATAGGTAGATAGGGCCAGGCGCGGTGGCTCACACCTGTAATCCCAGCACTTTGGGAGGCCGAGGCGGGTGGATCACCTGAGCTCAGGAGTTCGAGACCAGCCTGGCTAACATGATGAAATCCCATCTCTACTAAAAATACAAAAATTAGCCAGATTCAGTTTGCTAGTATTTGTTAAGTATTTTTGCATCTCTATTCATAAGAAATACTGACCTTTAGTTTTCTTTTCTTGTGATGTCTTTGTTTACTTTTATTATCTGGGTAATAATGACCACTTAGAATAAGTTGGGAAGTGTTTTCCTCTATTTTTTGGAAAGGTTTGTGAGAATTGGTATTAATTCTTTTTACATGTTTGGTAGATTTCAACAGCAAAACCATCTGGGCCTGGGTTTTTCTTTGTTGGTAGTTTTTTTAGTTTTGGTTTTGTTTTGCTTACCAATTCAATGTCTTTACTTGTTTTAAGTCTAAGTTTGGGTCTTTCTTAAAATTTGTTCATTTCATTTATGTTATCAAATTTATTAGCACACAATTGTTTATAGTATTTCTTTATAACCCTTTTTATTTTAGAAAATTTGGTAGTAACATCACCTCTTCCATTCCTGATTGTAGTAATTCAAGTCTTCTCTCTTTTTTTCTTGATGAATCTAGCTGAAGATTTATCAATTTTATTGGTATTTTCAAATAACCAACTTTTGGATTTATTTCCTCTATTGTTTTCCTATTCTTTATTTCACTAATTTCTGCTCTGATCTTTATGATTTTCTTCCTTCTGCTTGCTTTAGGCTTAACTTGCTCTTCTTTTTTCAGTGTATTAAGGTGAAAAGATATTTGCATTTTAAAAGATAATTTTATTAAGTGAATCTCTGGTTGGTAACTCTGTCAGTGATGAGAAGAGAGAAGGGAGGTCTCTTGGCCACTAAAGACATAGTCATACAAGAACAGGGGCAGGAACTCAGAACTTCATTTTATGATGTTTTCTGACCCCTACTCTGGCTAATTTAGACATGCTGTGAAAAGTCTTTTTTTTTTTTTTTTTTTTTTTTTTTTTGAGATGGAGTCTCGCTCTGTTGCCCAGGCTGGAGTGCAGTGGCGTAATCTCGGCTCACTGCAAGCTCCGCCTCCTGGGTTCACGCCATTCTCCTGCCTCAGCCTCCTGAGTAGCTGGGACTACAGGTGCCCACCACCATACCCAGCTAATTTTTTGTATTTTAGTAGGGATGCGATTTCACCATGTTAGTCAGGATGGTCTCGATCTCCTGACCTCGTGATCCACCCGCCTCGGCCTCCCAAAGTGCTGAGATTACAGGCGTGAGCCACCATGCCTGGACGAAAACTCTTTTTTTCTCTGCTCCAGAGTCTAGCTTTCTTATCAAAAATTTTGTCTACAACCTCCAACATGACCATAGCCCCCAATGTGACCATTTCCAGATCTATGATGATTCTTTCAGTTGTGACAGAAAGTGATTCCCATGCTTATTGGTTTATGTGATTGTTAGGCTCAGTACTGTTAGGTTTGATTCAAGGGGTCTGGCAACATGACCAGGAACTGGTTTCTCTTTCAACACTTCTTAGCTTTGCTTTCTTAAGGTAGATTCCATTCTTGGTCAGACTTCCCCCTTGCAGTCTTAAAATGGTTGCCAGAGTGCCCAGGGTTCACACTTCTAGAGTCAACTTCAGAGGAGAAAAGTGACAGTTTCCTTCCCAAAAGTCCCAGGGGAAGTCTTATTGATCACTGACTTGCACTGGGTACTTGCCCATCCCTGAACCAATCACTGTAGCTGGGGAGAATGTAAAATGATGATAGGCTAAACTTGTTGCAAGATCAACCTCTCACCAGGGTGGAGTCAACACCAACAGAAACACATGGGCTGAAAGTAGAGGAGAGATGCCTCTTAAATTTAAGGCACTGTGGGTGGAAGAAGGAAATGGATACTGGGGAGGCAACCAACCAATGCCTACTCAGGCTCCAAGCTCATCTCCCACTATTCTCCAACATCAGCCTCTCTTCTCCTGCTCATTCCTGCCTCCAGTGCCTCTACTTAGTCTGGACATGTGCCTAGGATTCCTTTCCTCCTTCTCATTCATGCTCCTCCATATCTGTCTTGGGCCATTTTTAGACTCAGTTCAAGCATCAGCAGCCCAAACACTCACCACCATTTGGATCTTCCATCATTTGGATCCATCTGGCTGAAAGAATCAGAACATACCTGGTGGTTGAGACACATCGGTGTGGATTTTTGTATTATCAAGGTATATTTATAGGCAGATCCAAGGTTGGCTCAGCTGTTCCATCAAGGACCCAGATTTTCCCAGCTTTCTTCATCACTCTCTGTTAGCATGTTAGCCTTGCCATCTCATGACTACAAGATGGCTACTGTAGCTGCAAGCACTATGCCCACAAAGGCAGAATGTAGGGAGTGAGGGGAATTGGGGCAGAGAGAGAGATCAATCTTCTCATCTTGCTCTCTCTTACCTTTTATCATGGAGCTAATATCCTCCAGAAACGTCTTCTGTGTCTCATTAGCCATCACCAAGTCCTATAGCCAGCTCTAGCTGCAATGCCACTGGGAGAGGAGAATGGGAGAGCCATGTCTGATTAAGACCAATCATGAGGCCAGGTGTGGTGGCTCACACCTGGAATACCAGCACTTTTGGAGGCTGAGGAGATAGGATCATTTGAGCCTGGGAATTTGTGACATGCCTGGGCAACATAGTGAGATCCTGTGTCTGCAAAAAATTTAAAAATTGTCTGGGTATGGTGGCAAGTGCCTGTAGTCCCAGGTACTCAGGAGGCTGAGGTGGGAGGATCACCTGAGCCCAGGAGTTGGAGACTGCAGTGAGCTATGATTGAGCCAACACACTCTAGCCTGGGTGACAGAGCAAAGCCCTGTCTCTTAAAACAACAATAAAAAAAAAAAAGACTAATGAGTGATATCCCTGAGGACAAAAATCAGCAAGAAAGAAGTGAGGATGGCCACAGTTCTCTGCACAGTACCCTTACTCTGCAATGACAGAGTTCATTCCTGGCATGCTCCCATGATGTGCTGGCTCTGCCCTTGAGCCAGGTGGCCTGTGGGGCTTGCTGAGACTAGATGGTCTTGGACAAAAGACATCAAGGCAAAGGATAAACCAACAGCAACTTCATGCAGGCTGGGGCATCCACCACGGAACCACAGAGAAGTACGGATGTGAAAGGGTGAGATCCTTGTCCAATTCTAGACATTTAGCCACATAAAACCTTTGCAGGAATTTCTCTGTTGCTCTGAATGGACTAGACTGTAAACAATTACCAACCCACATGGCCCCTGACTCTATCATGGTTCCCAGCACAGCCTATACAATGAAGCCCAAATTCCTTAGCAAGTCAAAATGGTCATTGCCAACTGAACTGAGTGCACAAAGGAAAGGCCACACGAGGACACAGAAAGAAGGTTGGTATCTGTGAGCCAAAGAGAGAGGCTTCAGGAGAAATCAACCCTGTTGACGCCTTGATCTTGGACTTCTAGGCTCCAAAACTGCAAGAAAATTAATTTCTGTTGTTGAAGACCCCCAGTCTGTGGTATTTTGTTATAGTGGTCCCAGCAGAGTAGACAACAGCCATTCCAATGCAGGCTCCTGAGCCAGCCATTCCAAACTTACATTCTGCCATGCACTTCGGACTCCAGTTTCCAAATAATCCTTGTTATTTTCAGAGCACACTGTATCCTCTCTCACTTCCATGCCTGTGAGAGTGTGATTCCCTTCGGCCCAGAATGTCCCTTTCTACCTTCAAGATCCAGCTGAAAGTCACCAAACGTCCCTCTGAAATCCCAACACAGAATCCACAGCCTTCACAAGACAACATCCATGGTGTATGGCACTGCCTCCCTGACAAATGCATGGAGATGCCTTCAAAGGCAGGAGCAGGGCAACTTCATTTCTTTATCTCCAAACTGGAATGAGACCTGGCATACACGAGGTGTTCAGCAAGAGCTAGTGCCATGGAGAGGTCAGAAGTGAAAGGGGCCACGTCTCCATGCTGTTTGTGGACCCTCCTTTGCTGTCCAGCACAGTACTGAGTTTACATCTGGAGCTCAATTAATACCTGTTGAACCATTCCCCCACCCAATCAAAAAAGGAAGCAAACCCTCCAGATTCTGACATCCACAGCAACTTCTGTGCTAAAATGGAAAACACCTGCCATACTGTAACTCCCACTCGTAGATGCATTTCACACAGAGTTTTACAGCAAAGCTAACCAAACTGGTGAAAGTACAGCCATCCAGTATCTCAAGGGGTAACCTGCAGGGAATATTCTTCTTCTAGGTGTCACTAACTCCTTCGGTGATACTTCTGGATTTAGGTGCTCCTTTCCTGCACAAAAGGTTAATGCCTTGAAGCCATACTCAACAGAAATGCTTATATTCTTTTCCTGCAAAACTGTGGCAGTAGAGACTTCAGGAATCATCCTCTCTCAGTCATCCCACTGTAAATATGAGGAACTTGAATCATCCATGCAACAAACGTGTTTTGATCCCTTATTTTGTGCCAGGTATGAAACTCTACAAGAGGCATGTGTTGGAGAAGATAGAAAAAAGCTAAACATGAATTCTGCCCTGGAGAAGCTCATAGGTTGTTCTACTCTTGCAAGATGCAAACTATCCCAGAGTTATAGCAAAAGAAAAAACTTCTGGGAACTTGCTGGAGAGTCTAGAGCTGGTACCTTGTCTAAAGTTACTCAGAGGCAGAGGTAGTAATAAGACTTCAACCCTCGTCCCAACTATTAATACAAATATATTTTCCCCCATGCAACAGATTTCAAAAATGACCACAAAATATTCTCTCCTCCATCCTTGCTCCTTGGACATGCCTTCACATACTGCCTCTGGGCTGGCCTCCTGATGTGCTTTGGCCAGTGGGACATTCACAAACATGATACAGGAGAGACTTCAAAAGCACTTGCATACTGGCATCTGTTCTCATTGCTCTTGAAAAACTGCCACCTTAATAACAGATCCAGGCCAGTCTGAGAAAGCATGATAAACCACATGGACAAGAACTGAGGTGATCCCACCAACAGCCTGCCAACACCAGATGTGGTAAAGCCATCCAAGACTGGCAAGCCTCTAGCTGGCCTGCCAGTGCCTGCTGATCCACAACTGACCATTGATACATGCAGGAGCCCAGCTGGGAGCAACAGAAGACCCATCCAGCTGAGCCCAGCACTAATTGCGAACCCACAGAATCATGGGCTGAGTAACAGCAATAGATTCCTAACATACCCCAGACTATCCTGCCCACTCTGGATCTAGCACATGGCCCTTGTAGTAACAGTCTCACTCTCTGCAGCAGAAACATTTCTACCAACCATGATAACGTAATCAGGACGAAAGGAAAAACATATGCCAAAGACTGGAATACCTTAAGACATGGACCACTGAAAATTGACTGGATGCTCTAAGGAAGGCTTATTTAAGTTGACTTCCAGCTATAATAGCTAAGGGTTGTTTGGTTCTCCTTCCAGTCAAGAGTTATGCCACAAATCCTGTACTGCATTCCACATAAAAGAAAAGTGTTGAGCTACCCTTATTATGTGTTATCTCAAAAAGAAGTTCACACCAAAGGCTGGCTTCCTTGTGGCTTTCTTGTTTTGTTTACTTTTAAAAGAAGCACCCAGCAACTGCAGAAGTTTATCAGGGAGCCTGAAATCTCCTTGACATGGAACTGAGTTTCATTTGAAGAAACAAAAAAGTTAAGAAAAAAAAGGTGAGTAACCTGAGGCCTGGGGAAAGCCTGTGGCCTGGTGTGGTGAGGGCAGCAGTCAGGCTGGAATCTGTCAAAAGCATGATTGCTTTCATACTGGGTCCTCTGTGACTGGCGCTTGCCATGAGGGTGGAGGGAAGTAAGGGGTAACGGTGGGCAATCAACAAGCCTGGCACAGGTCCGCAGAGTCCCCAGAACGATGGTGCAGGGAGATGAAGCGGACAAAGGAATCAAGAGAGTTCACGTTGACCCCTCAGGGAGCCCACATTTCTCTCTTACCTGCACCAGCCATGTGGGAAAGGTGCTATTAGTCCTCATTTTAAAGATGAGAAAACTGCTGCAGTGATGGGTCAGTAGCGTCTCTGGAGGCCCATACCTGGCTGGTGTTGATCGGGGTGTGGTCCTGGCAGTCCTGTCCCAGGACCTCTGCTCTTCTGCATGCACCATTGGCTTTTGCTGTTCAGAGAGGCTATGTTTCCCTGAAACACGTCTCTTCAAGATTGACGGAAGAGGATAAACAGAGGGGAACTTCTAAAACGTCTAAAGACAGCAATTTCCTAACTAAAGGTTTTTAATCTCTAATCCAGTAGACTGTCAATGACCTGGGAAAATTGACATGCCTTGACAAGGAGACATTAACCAGAGGCTGTATGTGGCCGCCTGTGCAGTTTTTTTGTGCCCTTCCATCTCTTTCCCTTTTCATTCTTTTTTCCCCTGCTTCCCTCCTTTTTGTTTGGGGCCCCCTCATAAGAGTCTGCCACTTTCTTCCGACTCTTGTTCTCCCAGAGGCCTCCTGGGCTCCTGTTCCTCCCACAGTTTCTCCCCTCCTCCCACCTATCTCCTGGCTGCTCTAAGTAGGTCTCTGGCCATCTCTTCTGAGGTCCATCTGCACTTATTAGCAGCCTCGGCGGGCATCACTTAGGTGCCCACATACTTCTAACCACTGTCAACAGACCCAGCAAAATGGAGGCTGGCCAAATGGCTTCCCATGGGAGACAGGGGTCTGGTACCTCTCCAAGCCCTGCTCCAAACCGGACATTTGCTGGGGAGGGCTAACTTGTAGTTTAAATTGATCAGAAGAAGGCATAAGGGAAACTTCTGGATGAAAAGCCTGAAGCAGAAGCAACGTGTGATCAGGAGGCTGCCCTGCAGCCCTGAGCCAGTCCTGTGGCAGCCTGAGAAACTCCTTTCATCCCCTGGGCCTCAGTCTTTCCATCTATGAAATGATGAGGGTGACACAGGACTCCCGGGTCATTGACCCCCATTTTGAGAGTCTGGTGGAGCCTATGATCCATCTTCCTTTCCTAGAAAAGTGTACATACCCCTTTGATGTCAAAAGCCCCACACTCTAACCCCCAAAAACTATCCATGAACCTCCTGCAAGTCCCCAAGGTCAGGGACAGCTGCTGATCTCTAAAGATACCTTACTGCTCAGTCTGTTGTTTTCCTCCTCTTCATTCTCTCCTCTATCCTTCCTCCTCCTTATTTTTCCCCTTCCCCTCTTCTCTTCTTCCTTTCTTCTCTCCCTCCTTCCTTCCTTCCTTCTTTCCTTCCTTCCTTTCCTCCCTGCCTCCCTCCCACTCTCCCTTCCTCTCTTCAGAATGTTGCTAGAGCTGTGACTCCCTGGAAGGTGAGGCATACCTTCTCATCACCATATACAAGAGACTTTGCGGAACATCAAGCATGGGAATAAATGGTCAGCATTAGCCCGGGAGAGAGGCATGTTAGCAGATGGACACAAAGGTCAACTTGGGGCAGCTGCAAGTGTAGGAACACACAACACACAGCTCTTCTTATAGCCCTCAAACACACAGAGAACAATGTCACCCCGTTTCACTCGCTGACCACCGCAGCATCCCCACCCCCATCCCCTAATGAACAAGGCTGTGTGAAATGAAAAGAAACTCCTACCAACAAGAATCTTGGATGACCCTGCAATATGGGACAAGGGTCATCTTGTCATCTCAGCTGTAAAAATTTGCACCAGTAAAGACCATTTCCTCCGTGTATACAATGACCAATAGTTTGGTTTGCATTCATGGACAAAGTGCATCTGGGATTAAGATCTAAACCTAAAAGGTGCCAATAAATAGACAATGGTGGACAAAGGTTGCTATTCAGGGAGCAGCTTATTCTGCTATTTTTTTTCTTCGACTCTACTGCAAAACAAAGCCAGATTTGTATCAGCAGAACATTCTTACAGCAACTGGAAGAAATTATCCCTTAAAGAAGCTGTTGGAAAACTCAACTGCAAGAATAGCAGCTGGCCTTGCCTCTTGCCATCAAAAGATCTTTGCTATTTGAAGAGTATTTTTAAAAAGCCCAGAAGAAATGCCCTGTTTAAAAATAAAACAATTTGCTACGCTATCACAAAGGCAGAAGCATCAGAAGGAGAAATAACAGCTTCATACAAGAAAAACAAACTTCTGGAAATTCTTAAAATGGACTACTTAAAAGGTGCTACTAAAATGCAATAATCTGACTAAAAATAATGTCATTGCTAGAAGATGCATGGTAGGGCCCATTTTCTCAGAGTTTAAGAGTAAATTTTATGGAACAACAGACATATGTCAAAGGTGCTTCACTTTTTTTTCCTCCTTGTGGGGAGAGGGTGTAAGCTGATTCCTTCCTTACCTTCAGCAGAGTCACTCGTGATTCATATTGATTGATATTGTAACTGGTGACGTCTGAAATGTAATCAGTTCGTTGGCCACTGCTCCTTCTCCTCACTCCCCTCCTGGCTTATCCCATGGCTGTGTCAACAAATGACCCGCAGCTTGCGATGATCCCATGCATCCTCCTTGCCACACAGCAGCCCCACCGTGTTCCGAGCAAAGAATACATTAAAGGTGTGTGCTGTGAAGGAGAATCCCACATTCCCACACCCTCAATAACACCAGCTCCTTCTGCCATCACTCCAGAGACACCTGGGAGTCACCCTCCTTCTCCCTCTGCTGCCCATGCATCCTCAGGTACAGTCCATGTTCATCTCTCCATCTCCTGCTAACACGCGGTGCTACGTCTTTGCCATGACGCGGCCTTCTTTGCCTTGCGCCTATATTACTATGAACCTCTCCATCTAGCTGGTTATTTGGATACAAAGCTGGGGCCCCTACACCCACCCTTTGGCTCATGCTTTTGTGTTTGGGTCCTCTCCCCCACGTGCCCTTTCCGAGGGTGGAACACCATCCAGGACACAGGACAGAAGGGCAAGTAGGAGCTGCGACCCAGCCCACACTCTGCTCACCAACTCATGGGGCAGCCTCTGCCCAGTGGGCACCTCTGTCTAATTTGCACAAAGGCTCTGCGTGGCATAGCAGCAGCCCTGCCTCTAGGTCCTGGCTGCATCATATTATAATTATCCGTGTGTTGGTCCATCCCACCCCTTCATCAGATGCATGATCTTTGCCACCCTTTCCCCACCCTGGCGCCCAAGGACCATGTAGACGTCAATAAGGAAGTATTTGCTGAATGAATCGCTGCTTTGGATCCTGGGAGAGGAGAGCAAGGAGCCGTATGGGGTAGCCACAGAGCTGCATGCGAGGGGCGCTGAGCAGGAGCCAGGCCGTCCTCACCCCTGCAGAGACTGACAGAGTGGGGTTCAAAATGGCCACTTGAAGGGACAATAAGCTGTGTGATTTAGCTGACCCCAGGGAGCATCTGCGCTAAACCAGCTGGCTGGTGATGCGGGAACACCTAGTCGCAGGTGGCGTGAGTTCAGAAGGGCTACAGGGTTCAGCAGCTGCGGCCTGGGGAGATGGAAATTCACACTCCCTTCTACACTCAAAGATGAAAACAGGACCTGCAGAAGGTTTCCTGGAACACTGAACAAACACCCAAAGCAGGGGGTGGGGGAAAGAAAGCACTCAACAGCCGGCTGACAACCTGATTAGAAAACCTAAGGGCGGGGAAGGAAAAGCCAGTCCCACCTTTGAGGACAAAGTCTCAGGAAGGCCGTGGGGATGGAATTATGTGCAAGCAAATGGTGAAAATTGTTCACCTCCGGATGGATCCAGATGGCTGGGAGGGGCCCTTATTTCCCAGAGCCACAGGTGCCACACCCGTGTCTGGCTGGGGGCTGATGTGAGGAGGATATTACGAGGACGCAAGAAGGGGGGATGTTCTCTATCACTTAAATCTACCCAGGCCTCAGGGCATGGCCTCTCCTCCAGGTAAACTGGCATAGATGGGGGAAGTGCCCGAGGATGGCACTGCCCATTGCTGTAGACACACACAGAGAGTGAAGGCTTCATGGAGAAAGGGGTCAACATGGGCCTAGAACGGGAGGGCTGTGATGGGGACCATCACTGAGCCCCACTCCCGGGAGCAAGGGAAGGAACTGCAGGAGGGAGGAGCCCTGTCTTATTGGTTCTAGATCCACTGAAAGCGGCCACAGTTCTGAGGACTTGGGCAGGTTCCAGAAACAATGCCAAATCTCCCTTGCTAGTCCATCCACGGCCTGTGTTCCCCTTGCAGCACCTAGCTCCATGTCACCGACGGGAAAATCCTGAAAACCATGCAGGCTGCACCCTGGCCCCGAGGCAGCTCAGACCGGTGGAGCTGGCCAGGTGGGAGAGGAGGGAGCCATGGTGAGGGGTGACTACAAAGTTCCTGGAGAGAAAAGCCACGTGACCGAGGTCTGAGGCAAGAAAGGACTAGAAGGCAAGGCCAGTAAGGTTCAGAGAAAGGGCTTATGTTCCAGAAGGTCTCCATAAATGCAGGGGAATTTGGAACAAAATGCTAAACAGAGATTTAAAGGAGGAGGCACTTACTGGAGGTGTGAGGGCAGGGCTCTGGAGGAAGTGGGGAGGGCTGGCCTCCCAGTCGTGTGTCTTGGGACATCAGCGAGGGAGGGACAATCACACTTTAAGCCAGTTCCTTCAATACACCAGTTTTTATCATCATAACAGAAGCTACAGAAAAGAAAGTGGGCCAGCTCTCCAGAGTTGAGGGGCTGCCAGGAAGGCCAAGTGGCATGAGCCGGTGGATGGACTAGCACTGAGGAAAGATGAGAGTGAGATGTGTCCACTCGGTAACCCTCTACTCAGCACCTCCTTCATGCCGGGCCTTGCAGATGAACAGCAAATATGGTCTGCTCCATGCCTTGAACTCACTGCCTGGCAGGGGTCAGAGTTGTACAATCATATAATTACAGCCTGCTCTCCAGCCTTCCTGGTCATCCAGTGTCAAATGAGGATATTTTTGGAGTCTAAGTCATCATATTGCACAATGTTTTCAGACCGCACCCTTCCCTCACCTGAGCTCATGGGTAAGGAATTCTCACAGTTAACTTCTAGACGTCTTTCTATGGACTGAGAGCCACTTGGTTGGCTGAATACAAAGGTGCTAAATATTTCTCAAAGGGGCACAAGAGAAACTGTGACTTCCTAGCTCAAGAGCCCACAAAGCGGCTTGCCCCCATCCATGGGCCAGTCTCCATCGCCGTGCTGATAGCATCAGTGGACATTTGCTCATGATCCAGTATCCCCCCCTTTTTCTTTTTTTGAGATGGAGTCTTGCTCTGTCACCCAGGCTGGAGTGCAGTGGTGCGATCTCCGCTCACTGCAACCTCTGCATCCTGGGTTCAAGCGATTCTCCTGCCTCAGCCTCCCGAGTAGCGGGGGCTACAGGCGTCTGCCACCACACCCCGGTAATTTTTTGTATTTTTAGTAGAGAGGGAGTTTCACCACTTTTGGCCAGGCTGGTCTCGAACTCCTGGCCTCAAGTGATCCACCCGCCTCAGCCTCCCGATGTGTTGGGATTATAGGCGTGAGCCACTGCACCCGGCCAATATTTTTAAGTTCCAGCATGTTGAATTGGATAAGGCAGCCAGTCAGGCAAGGGCATAAATTCTGTTTTTTGTTATTGTTGTTGTTGTTTTCAGAAGGGATACCTATCTCTAATCTTTTTTTTTTTTTAAGAGACAGAATTTCAACACGTTGCCCAGGCTGGTCTCAAACTCCTGGTCTCAAGGAATTTCCCGCCTCTGTCTTCTGAGTTTCTGGGGCTACAGATGTGTACCACGGAACCCAGCTGATTTCCCACCTTTGATATATTATGAGCAAACGATTAGGGAGAATTAATTATTCTCTTCCTCTTTACCCTAGGAAATGATGTTTACCCTAACCCAAAATGTAAGAATTTATCAGGAAAACACTACCTATAAAGAAGAAATCTGTCCTGCTTGGTGGTGTAAGGAGAACAATTGGATTTGGTCCATGTCAGAAGATTGCGGACCAAATCCCACTACTGCCAGCAGGGTCATTTGGAGAAAGATACTTTGTAACATTGGACCTCTGTTTCCTCATCTGTAAAATGGGAATAGTAAGAATAATAATACTTGTCTCACAGATTGATGTGAAGGTAAAATGAGGTCATGTGTGCACAGAATCTAGTCCAGACCCTAGAACATACCTGGCACTCAATTAATATGAGATAATTGTGCCATGCCTTAAGTATAAGATTTGTTATTACCGTAAACACTACAGCATGAATTTGCCTTGGTACTGCCAAATGGAGGTTTAAGTTCTGATTCCTGATGATGAAATACGGAGACTCTGGCCTGCTACGTTAAAAACAGCACTGATGGTAAAGGCTAACCCAAGACATGCTTTCTCTTTCTCAGGGTCCAGTCCGAGGAGGCTGGTGTTTATACGACAGAATTTGCTTGCATAAAGCGGGTTAAGCCAGGTTCCCAGTGCAGCGGCTGACACCTGTGGCTTAGTGTTGCTCCGAGCCACCTGCAGAGCCAGTCTTGGAACCCAGCAGGTCCTCTGGGGGCAATATGTCTCTGTAGGTGCTCACGGCAGGCTCCAGGAGCTGGAGGTAACTGGTTGGCCAGAAAATCTACCCAAACCAGTACTGACTAACCGAGGCTGGCACAGATCCTTCTGCATAATAAGATATCCACAGGCCCCCGGGGTGGCTTCTGAGGTCCCTAGGGTCTCTATGAGAAAGATAGCAGAGGCGGGGCTGGAGATGAGGTGCTCTTAACCCAGGTTTTGCCCACAGTTGGTACAGTAGTGGGGGAGGGTTCAGTCTCCTCTTTTTTTGCCCCTTGCTTTTCCTCCCTTCTTTCTTCCTAACTGGGAGGAGACAGGATTGCACAAAGCGAGGCCCTAGTTTTGCTGAAGAGGGGTAAAAAGCCTGGGGGGAAAGATTGAAGCCCTGGTGACTTGAGGTCCCCTCCCTCTTCCTAAAAGCAGAGTGAATGATTCTGTGCAGGCAATAATAATAATACTTATTATAATGATGCTGCGGGGGTCTCCCAGATCATGCAAGAGGGCAGGCAGGCTGAGCAGCTGGTCTCGGTTATGAAGATACAGAGGTGTTTCATGCTGGCTGGCACAAACCTCTGCCCTGAGCCCCCACCCTAGGACCCCCAAGACTGCCCCAAGATCCAGCAAGCACAGGGTTAACATGAGTCATGGCAAGGGGCCTCCAGGACCTCTGCATCATCTCCAGGGGCTGGAGGCAGGGCAGGACAGGTAGGTAGGACCTTGGCCAGCCCCTTCCTCTTTGGTAAACTGAGGATAACACTATGGAAAGTGTTCATACATGCTCATGGTTCTGTTGCTCTTTCTATTTCAGTGCTCCTGCCCTCAATATTTTTTTCCCTTAACCTTTTCTAGACCCATAGGTTTCTTCCAAATTCTGGGGCCGAACTGCCTCAACCATCCACCTCTGTTCTTAAGCCCATCAGCACCCACCACAAGGCGGACGCTGACATCCAAGAGGCAGCTCAGTTTAAATTAAGAAGTTGAGTTATCATCTCTAACTAGAGCAAAAGCAACGGAGCAGAGAGGGCTCCCTGCAATGCAACTTCAGCACAGAGATTGTGAAAACCACCCGCAGGCGAAGGGAGGGCAGGGCAGCCAACTTGACCGTTTCTAACCCACTCACCCACCACCCTCCCCCTGTGCCAGGACTGCAGAACCTCTTTATTTTTGTTGACTTCGAACTAGGACAACCTCACTACTTAACCAACAAAGCCCCCCAAGTCTGAGACTCAGACATTAAAAACTTCTATTTTCAATTATTTGTCTTCTTTCTGTATATTGATCAAATTACCACAAACCACTAATCTGTTAGAAATTAATCCAAGATTGAGCAATTCTACAGCCAGTTAAGTCAGAGTGGAGAATTAATGATTAATTAGCATCATAATGCTCAACAACCCCCCCACTTCCTCTAATGCGTATGCACGTACAGACACATTCTTTAAGAAATGTATTACCAGAACTGGTAGGAACTCTTCTCAGCACGTTACCCACTTGAAAACACTAGAGAGAAACCATAGCCAGTCTGTGTAGCTGCCCTGAAGCTATGACTCTATGCCGGGTTTTAAAAGTCCATATCTCTGTGTTTTTAACGTGCAGCTCCCTGGATCATAGATACCTTGATGAAGACAGAGAAGAAATTTTACACCTGTGTGAGGGTTGGGTGATTACTGGAGCACAAAGAGAGACATAATCCAACCACACAATGATCCCTAGGAGACAAGAGGCCTACAAAACAGGTAAAATGTCCCTGGAACAGGAAATGTTCTTGTCACCAGGCCAATTGGTTACCACAAATAAATTCTTTTTCCAAATAACACAAACAAGCAGGGTTTTCCTGCTTCATCCAAGAGGAGGGAGCAGCAGCAGGAGACCAGCTGTCTTGTGTATAGTCCCAATGTTTGCTTCTAATAGCAAGACAAATCCTTGATGGAAAATGTACAAAGTAATTGAGCTGGCAAGGAATCAGAAGGAAATACCCAGGCCCCTTTCTTCCTGGTGACACATGTATGCCATCTTCAGAAGCTCAGAAACAAGCAGGAAAAGTGAGCAAAGGTGAAGATATATGTATTACTTCGGGTTTCTCATCCATCTAGGGGATTTTCCTTAATTGTCGGGTTTGATTTTAAATGAATGCCTGTACAACCGGAAATCAACTCCAGTACAAAAAATAAAGTCATGTGGAATTTTTGAAAATTGCCATACGGTAGGATCCATATCTGAGTTGTTATAATGAAAAAAGAATTCCTGCTTCTTAAATTTAAAAATTATAAAGTATACATTTTAGCTTTGTTAACATTGCTCAGCCTAACATTAAAACGGCAGGGGAAGTAGGTCATAGAGAAAGCGGCCCCGCCCCAGATGGCACATGATAACGACCAGAGGAGAAGCAGGGGCCATGCTCCCCTGTCACCTGGGGTGACTTTCTGGGGAAGACTTACTTGGGTGTGCCTGTGGGTTTCCAGTACCTGCAGAAGAGGTACTGTCCGTCTGCATTGACCAGGTGAGGGAGGTCCTGGTAGGGAATGCTCTGCGGGGTCCGCCTGGGGGAACTTTCCTCTGGCATGCTGGAAGGGTCTTCAGGTCCTAGAAGGAAAAGTGACATATTCCAAAGTCAGAAATATCTCAAGAACATGTATGGATAGGAGAGAAAAGTCTAGTTCAGAGTCAGTAACATTTTTTTAAAAGCAGTTTAAAAAACCCCTCTGTTTCAAAGGTTTAAAACATACATACATTTCTTGCAAACCTCTCCAAGACTGAAAAATCCCATTTGTTCTTAAGAAAATGCTCACTTTATTTTTTAAGTGCCTCATTACAGTTTTTCCCCCTTCCCATCTGTGTTTATTTTAAATCATTTCAGGAAACTTCATCTTAAAGACTATTTTAGCTGTAATCAAGTGGAAATTATAGTCAGCTCTATGGGTACAAAGACCCAGCTGCAAGAAGACCCATCTATCTTAAAATCTCCAAGGAACAGTTTCAAGTGGGCACAATAATGAGGTGGATGATACTCAGATTATTCCTCCCATCTGAAATTCCAAGGATACATGACAAACCTGTTTCCATTATGTGCTGGCGTTTGCATTCCACAACCACGACAGCCTGGAGAATCAGAACCAGGCAAATCGGGCTGTTCCCTCATCTGGGCGGCCCCAAGGCAGCAGGAAGGCAGCTCCGAGCCCTCTTCCCGCACCCAGACCCTGCCTTTCGGGCTGGGGCGCTCAGCCGGGAGCCTGCTTCCAGCTCCCACCGGCAGGCTCTCCGGGGCTCCCCTCCCTCCCCAGGGCGGGGAGCGGCGCTGCGATTCTCCACTACTAGTTCATGTCATCACTTTTCCTAAACAAATCGCTAGAGGGGCTCGGAGAAGGGAGGGGCCCGGGAAACTGGGAAACTAGCTCCGCGCACACCGAGGCACCTCGCAGACGCACAAATGCGGGTGCCCAAGGCAAAGTCGCCCCCAAGGCTTCTCACAAACTTTGCTTCCTGTGCGTCTCCGACAGCACAGGACACGTAGCCCCGAAGCTGTCATCGGAAATGCCGCTGGGAAAACCGGGTGGGCTTCGCCGGGTGTCTGCACCGGGGAAGGTGGGGACTAGAAAGATGGAGTTGATGGGGACAAGTTGGTTTGGGGGCTGGTGCGAAGGAGCAGGGAGGGCGCGCGCGCGCGCACACGCGCGCACACTCGGACACGCGCGCACACACACCGTGCACACACACACACGCACACATGGGTAGCGGGAGCCCACGCCGGGCGTGTCCGGGACCCCAGTGCTGCTCCCCACCCCTGACGGCGGCACTGGCGGGCTGGGGCAGGGGCCGGGAGGCAGTTACCGGGGCCACGAGCGCCGCTGTCGCGTTCCCCGAGCGCAGCGGATCCTCGTTTGCGGCGGGCCAGGGCCGGGACGAGCTGCGCGCGACCGGCTTCGCGGCGACAGGGTGCGGCGTCTGCGCCGCCACTTTATCCCTGGGCCGGCTCGGCGGCGGGGGCGGCCCGAGGTGGGTGGGGACGCGCGGGACCCGGCGGGCGGCGGGCGGCGCGGGGAGGCGGCGCCCGGGGCCCACGTGTGCCCGGCCCGCGGGGAGGAGCGGGGGCGCCGCCCGCCGACCCAGCCACGCACTCCTCTCCTCCGCGCCTCGTGGACAGCCGCGCCCCGGGGTGGCCGCCCGAGGACTGTCAGGGAGGCCTGAACTGAGCTGGGTTCATGGGAGCCTCAGCGCGGGAGGACACACCACACCCACGGGCACACGCGCGCACACAGACCCACAGGCACCACACGTACACAGACAACTCGCGCAGGGCCGCACACTCACCACACGTGTACACATGTGCACTCCCAAAGTCACTACACTGCACGCAGGGACATACAGACACACATCCCAGAGATACCACATGCATACAGACACACACAGACCACACATGCATGCACACACACAAGCCGAGACATAGGCACAGACAACCCACAGAGACACAGAGGTGCACAGACATATGCAGACTATACACCTGGCCCCCACATAGACACAGACACACTCACATCATACACACACAGTCGCACACAGACACACTCACACTTCATTGCAGTCAGACACATACAATGCTGGAGGGGCAATTAACCGGTCGTGGTGGCATGCGCCTGTAGTCCCAGCTACTCAGGAGAATCGCTTGAACCCGGGAGGCAGAGGTTGCAGTGAGCCGATACCACACCATTGCACTTCAGCCTGGGTGACAGAGTGAGACTCCATCTCGGGGAAAAAAAAATGCTGGAGGGGGTCCACTTGACTCTAGGGTAGTGTAAAAGCAGATGGTGCATGGCTACAAATGCCTTGTCCCTTCCTGGCAATCCCCAGCAACTCTCCCGTTCCCAGCGGCTGTGACCCCCAGATAAAACCTCTGGTGCATCTACACAGGCCAGGGCACAGTCTGAGCTCTGTCCAGTATAACTAGCAACGTGGCCGTGGAGGGTAAGGCCACTGGACTGAGACTCCACACCACCTGGGTTGAACATTAGCTCCTCCGCTTGCTCTTTGAGCCTCAGTCTACCTACCTTCAACCTGTGAGTGATATACCTATGCCCCAGTGGAGTGTCCCTGTCTCACACTGACCTCAAGAGGCCTTCCTGTCTTTCTCCGCAAAAAATTCTACACCATAGCAGCGTTGAGGACTGTGTCTCAGCGTCACACTGTGTGTGTCCAAGGAGGCCCAAGTTGCTACAGAGCCTGTGGTCTAACTTGAGAAATAAAACAACAGCCTTTGAGCAGTGGCTTGAGTTGTAGGCACTGCTGAGCGTGACTTACCCACTGTCTGGCCTCCAGCAGGCCACGAGGCCTGGAGCAGAGGAGTGGCTAAGTGACTTCTGGTCGGGGCAGCTCTACAGAATCCATGCAAGAGAGGTTTAGGGGCGGCAGTCTCAGGGGCAGGAAGCTTGGGGGCTTCACTCAAAGCTGGACATGCTAAGTGCACCGGATTTCCGTTGGTTATAATTCATGGAAAGGAAGGGTGCTCGGGGGTCTGATGGACGCTTTTATCAAGGCATTATTTCAAATGTTCCTGGCTCTAACATTTTATGATTTAAAATACACAGCTTGAAAATTTGGAGGAGAGGCCGGGCTCAGTGGCTCACGCCTGTAATCCCAGTCCTTTGGGAGGCCAGGCAGGTGGATCATCTGAGGTCAGGAGCTGGAGACCAGCCTGACCAACATGGTGAAACCCCATCTCTACTAAAAATACAAAAATTAGCTGGGCATGGTAGCGGGCACCTGTAATCCCAGCTACTCGGGAGGCTGAGGCAGGAGAATCGCTTGAACCCGGGAGACAGAGGTTGCAGTGATTGCACTCCAGCCTGAGCGACAGAGCAAGGCTCTGTCTCAAAAAAAAAAAAAAAAAAAAAAAGCTTTGAGGAGAGACTTCACTGAAGTTGTCAGAGGGATCTCAGTAGAAGTGACATTTGCAAACTTGAAGAGATCCCCCAAACTTGGTTATGGACAGAACTGAGACTGTGGTGTGTGGCCAGCCAACTGGGAATTTGGGAGTTAAGAGACAGATCGTATTGTTCTGTATCTGGCTTTTTCTTTTAATTAAACTTATTCTGAGATAATTGTAGATTCGCATGCAGTTGTAACAAATAATAAAGAGAGATGCTATGTGCCCTTTACTCAGTTTCCTGCAATGGCAACTTCTCACAAACCACAGTAAATATCACAACAGGATACTGACACTGATAGAATATCTGTAGTCAAGCTACAGAACGTCTCTACCCCACAAAGTGGTATGCTTTTATAGCCACATCCACTTCCCTCTCATCCTCACTCCCCTAGAACCCCTGGCAACTGCTAATTTGTTCTCCATTTCTAAAATTTTGTCATTTCAAGGATATTTTATGAATAGAATCATAAAGTACATAACCTCTAGGATTCACCTTTTCATTCAGCATAATTCCAGGTGGGTTGGGTGTAGCAGTCCACAGTATGGAAGTACCACAGTGTGTCTAACAGGTCATCTGCTGAAGGATATCTGCGTTGTTTCCAGTGTTTGTTGATTAAGAATAAAGCTGCTGTAAACCTCCGTGTACATGTTTTTGTGTGAACCTAAGTCTTCATTCTCTGAGATGAGGGCCCAGGAGTGCAATTGCTGAGCTGTAGGGAAATTGCAAGTTTTTAAAGAGAATGCCAAAATGTTTTCCAGAGTGACTGTAGCATTTTACATTCCTACCAGCAGTGTAGGAGAGAACCAGTCTCTCAGCATTCATGTCAGCATGTAGTGTTGTCACCATTTTAAAAATTTTAGTCTTTCTGTTAAGTGTGTAGTGATGATATTTCACTGTGGTTTTTAATTTGCTTTTGCCTAATGGCTAATGTTGTTTCATGTGCGTATTTGCCATCTATATATCCCATTCAGTAAAATGTCTTTTCTTGTCTTTCGGCTATTTTCTTGCCCCCCACCCCCCTTTTTTTTTTTTTTTTTTTGAGACTGAGCCTCACTCTGTAGCCCAAGCTGAAGTGCAGTGGCGCCATCTTGTTTCATTGCAACCTCCACCTCCCAGGCTCAAACAATTCTCATGCCTCAGCCTCCCTAGTAGCTGGGACTACAGGTGCAGGCCACCACACCTGGCTAACTTTTTGTATTTTAGTAGAGACGGGGTTTCATCATGTTGCCCAGGGTGGTCTCAAATTCCTGAGCTCAGGCGATCTGACCGGCCTCAGCCTCCCAAAGTGCTGGAATTACAGGCATGAGCCACCACGCCCATCCTTTAGGCTATTTTCTTTCTTTCTTTTCTTTTCTTTTTTCTTTTTTTTGAGACAGGGTCTCGTTCTGTCACCCAGTCTGGAGTGCGTTGGTACGATCTCCGTTCATTGCAGCCTTTGGCTATTTTTTAATTGTTTGCTTGTTGTTTTCTTACTGTTGAGTTTTGAGAGTTCTTGGTATATTCTAGACATTAGTCTACTAGATACTAGATGTGTGATTGCAAATATTTTCTTCCAGTCTGTAGCTTGTCTTTTAATCCTTTTAACAAGGTCTTTTGCAGAGCAAAAGTTTTCATTTTGATCAGAAACAATTTATCAATTTTTTGTTTTATGGATTATGCATTTGGTGTCAAGTCTAAGAACTCTGTGTAGTCCTACCTCAAGAGATTTTCTCCTGTGTTTTTCTCTAAAAGTTGTATAGATTTACATTTTATGCTTAAGTCTGTAAGCTATTTTGAGTTACTTTTTGTCTGGAGTGTGAGATTTAGATCAAGGTTCATTTGTCTCTACATGTCCCATTGCTCCAGCACAGTTTGTTGAAAAGGCTGCCTTTCCTCCACTGAATTGCTTTTGCACTTTTGTAAAATTCAGCTGCCTGCTTGTACAGGTCTATTTCTGGGTTCTCTCTTTTGTTTCTTTGGTCTGTGTCTATTCCTCCACCAATACCACACAGTCTTGATTATTGAAGTTCTCTATAAATCTTGAAATTGAATAGGCTGGTTCCTCTCACTTTATTCTTCATTTACAAGACTTTTTTTTTTTTTTTTTTTTTTTTTTTTTTTTGGTAGAGAAGGAATCTCTCCATGTTGCCCAGGCTGGTCTTGAACTCCCGGCCTTAAGCCACCCTCCCACTGTGACCTCCCAATGCACTGGGATTACAAATGTGAGCTACCACACTCAGTCTACAAGATTCTTTGAACGATTCTAGTTCCTTCACCTTTCAATATAAATTTTAAAATAACCTTGTTTATATTCATTAAAAATTTTGCTGGGATTATGATAGGAATTGCATTAAACATGTATATTCTTCGAGAACTGACATTTTTACTATTAAGTCTTCCAATCCATGAACATGGGTATATATGTCCATTTATTTAGTTGTTCTTTGATTCCTTCATAAATGTTGTATAGTTTTCAGCATACAAGTTCTATACACATTTGGTCAAATTTATACCTTTTTTAAAATAAGTAATTATAAATGTTAGGTATATTTAATTTCAGTTTCCACATGTTAATTTGTAGCATATAGAGGTAAAATTGATTTTTGTATGTTGATCTTGTATCCTGTAATCTTGTTGAACTCACTTATTAAATACAGATATAGGGTTCTTTTTTTTGGCATCTATTGTCTTCTGTAATCCAGGAGGGTTTGGGTTTTTGGTGTTTGGCTTTGTTTGTAGCTTACTTGGGGTTTTCTACATAGACCATCATTATATTTGAAGGGAGTTTCTTGTAGACAACATATACTTATATCATTTTAAAAAATCCATTCTGCCAATGTCTGTTTTTTAGTTGGTATATTTAGACCATTTACATTTAATGTAATTATCATATTGTTATGGTTTAAGTCTGCCATTTTATTTTTATTTCGGTTCTCTCATTTATTTTTTCTTTTTCTTTTCTTCTTCTAGGTTACTTGCACAGGAACTTTTTCTTGTTTTGTTTGGTTTGGTTTGGTTTTGAGATGGAGTCTCGCTCTGTTGCCCAGGCTGGAGTGCAATGGTGCCATCTTGGCTAACTGCAACCTCCGTCTCCCAGATTCAAGCAATTCTCCTCTCTCAGCCTCCCAAGTCTGGCTAATTTTTGTATTTTTAGTAGAGATGGAGTTTCACTATATTGATCAGGGTGGTCTCGAACTCCTGACCTCAGGTGATCCACCTGCCTTGGCCTCTCAAAGTGCTGGGATTACAGGCATGAGCCACCAGGCCCAGCCTGTTTTATTTTGTTTTTGAGACAGGGTCTCACTCTGTTGCACATACTGGAGTGCTGTGATGCAATCACAGCTCACTGCAGCCTCAACTTTCTAGATTAAGTCATCCTTCCACCTCAGCCTCCTGAGTAGCTGGTACTACAGATGTGTACCACTGTGCCCAGCTAATTTTTTTTTTCTTGGCAAAGATAGGGTTTCACTATGTTGCCCTGGCTAGTCTCAAACTCCTAGGCTCTGAGCCTGCCTGCCTTGGCCTACCAAAGTGCTGGATAATTATAGGCATGAGCCACCAGGCCTGGCCAGGAACATTTTTAAATTCCAGTTTTATTTATTTATACTGTGTTTGAGTGAATCTCTTTGTATAGACTTTTTAGTGGTTGCTCTATGTACTGCATTTTATGTATCACAGCTTACTGATGCCACTTTACTAGTTCTTATGCAATATAAAAACCTAACATCTTCTTATGTCCCTTTACTCTGCACCATTTATACTCTAATTGCCTTAACTATTTTCTCTACATACTCTGAGATTCACATCAGATAGTATTAAAATTTTTGCTTCAATCATCAAATATAATTTAGAAAAGAGGAGAATAAAAGTCTATTTTATTTGCCCATAGTTTTGTTCACTGTGTTCTTTCTTCATGATAGTACAAGGTTTCTTCTTTTATCATTTCTTTTTGGTTTAGATATATTCCTTTAGCCATTCTTTGAGGATGGGTCTGCTGGCAACATTTTCTTAGTTTTGCTTTATCTGAGAATGTCTTGATTCCCCTTCATTCCTGAAGGATATTTTCACTACATAAAGAATTCTGGATTAAAAATTATTTTCTTTCAGCATTTGAAAAATATCATACCATTACATTCTGGCCTTAATGCTATCTGATAAGATATCCATTGTCATTCAAATTTTTTTTCCTTATAAGGAAATTACCTATAGGTAACATGTAATTTATCTTTCCCTGCTGTCAAGATTTTTTTCTTTGTCTTTAGTTTTCAGAAGTTTGACTATGATGTTTCTTGGTATGGGTTTCTTTGGGTATATTTTATTTGGAATTCATTCAGCTTTTTTATTTATAGTTTTTTTTTGTCTCCTGCCAAATTTGAGACATTTTCAGCCATTACTTATTTGAGTACTTTTTCAGCCTCATCCTCTTTTCTCTTCTCCTTTTGGACTCTGATGACATGAATATTTGAGCTTTTCTTATAGTTCCGTAGGTCCCTGAAGGCTCTGTTCATTTTGGTTTTTTTTTTGTGGGTTTTTTTTTTAAGCCTATTTTCTCTCTGTTATTCAGATGAGTCATTTCTATTGTCCTATGTTCCAGCTTATTGCACTGTTCCCTCTATTTCACCTTTGAGCTCATCCATTGAGCTTTTTATTTCAGTTATTGTATTTTTCAACTCTAAAATTTCCATTTGGTTCTTCTTTATATCTTCTATTTCTTTGCTAAGAATTTCTATCCCTTTGCCAAGACTTTTTATTTTTCATTTGTTTCAGGCATGTTTATAATTGCCTGTTGGAGAACTTTTATTGTGACTGCTTTAAAAATCTGTTTGTTTTCCTGTTGGTATATATTGTCTTCTCTAATCCAGTGTTAGATCTTTCTGGTTCTTGATAAGATAAATGATTTTCTATTGAAACTTGGTCATTTTTGTATTATGTCATCAGACTCTGGATCTGATTTAAACCTTTTGTTTTACCTGTGTTTCTCTAGAGTCACAAATGTATAAGGCAAAACAAAAAACCCAGGGAACTCACCACCATGTTGTTCCTCAGGTCCTGAGGTCCCCAGCAGGTTTGCCTTTTATCTCTTCCTTTCAGCATCCTCTTACGTTGGTTGTATACATAATGTCCAGGGTTTTTAGTCATATTTAGTGGGAAAAGTAGGGAAAAGCACATCCACTCCACCTTTGCAGATGTAGAAGTCTTGTATCTGGCTTTTTATTTCAGTAGGGAAATCAGTGGGCCACCAGGCCCCTACTTGCCTGTGTGTCCACCTAGATCTCTAGGGCAGGATTATTCTAGATGCAGTGATCTCCAAGACAAGTGCTGGTTGTCAGGCTCTGCTCCTACAGCCTGCGATGAAAAGGTAAGGGTTGCAATTCAAGTAAAGGTGACGTCTTTCTGCCCCTACAAGTTGATATGGTTTGGATCTGTGTCCCCACCAAACCTCATTTTGAACTGTAATCCCCAATGTTGAAGGTGGGGCCTGGTGGGAGGTGAATGCATCATGGGAATGGATTTCTCATGAATGGTTTAGTGCCATCCCCCTTGGTATTGTCTTGGTAATAGTGAGTGAGTTCTCGTGAGATCTGGTTGTTTAAAAGTGTGTAGCACCTTTCCCTCTCTCTCTTGTTCCTACTCTGGCTGTGTAGGACGTGCCTGCTTTCCTTTCACATTTTGCCATGATTGAAAGTTTCCTGAGGCCTCCCAGAAGCAGAAGCCACTATGCTTCCTGTATAGCCTGCAGAATCATGAGCCAATTAAACCTTTTTTCTTTATAAATTACCCAGTCTCAGGTATTTCTTTATAGCAGCATGAGAATGGGCTAAAACACAAATGTTCTTGTGTGGCCTTCAGAGATGCTCTGAGGTTTGAGGAGAGTAGAACATACTGGAAATACCTGTGAAGAGAAAAGGAGAAAGAGCAAGCCGGGAGATAGTAAGAAGACCAAGAGTTTCTCTTATTAGCAGTTTTAGTGTATGTGATATTGCACAAGAATTTGGGTGGTTGTATACTTCAATTATAAACCACTTCTAATGGGAAAGGAGTGGAGGTTGGGAATGGAAATGGTACTGAAAATGAATGATAGAGGAAAAGCAAGACTGTACTATCAAACTTAAGGGGAAATAAAGTTGGGCAAAAATACCTAAGCCTCAGAAGCAAGCTCCACTGACTAGTGGTGCTACTTCCTGGTGAGTTACTCTATTTTGCTAAGCCTGCCTCCTCACCTGAAACAGGGGAATGTGGATAGGAATACCCCCTCTAGGGCCTTGGTTAAGATGGACTGAACATCAGCATGGTGCCTGGTGGCTAGTCAGCTTGTATTAAGTCAGGGGTGGCAGCTTGGGGGCCTTCATGTTAAGTCTGACCCATTAAAAAGTATTTCTATATCTGAAATGGTTTTTTTAATGTGAGTTTTAAAAATTGGTGATTTCACATGCAAATCCAGATTCCTAGCTTTTCTCAAAGAGCAGAGGGATATGGTTACACTGGACTGTTAGTGTTGGATGATGGGTTGAGCATGAGGTGCCTGCAGGGGCAGATGGATTTGAGGATCTAGAGCTGAAGAAGAAGGTCAGACCGGAGACAGAGATGTGGGTGTTGGCCGGAAATGGCCCTTGCAGCTGTGGGGGAGAGTGTGCTGACCCAGGAGAGTGGGCAGGTAGAGGTGTGACCTGGCAGCCTGCATACTGCACCTGGTCAGCAGGAGATTTGACCTGCACAGTGCTTTATTGATATTTGGTTGAATTAGTAGCCAATTTCTGAAAATCAGGGCATTTCACATAGCAATGCTGGTTGTGTAAAAGGCCAAAGGTCTGGCAATATGGGCTTCCATCTGGGCGGGCAGCAGCCTGCACTGAGGCTGGGGGGAGGCTGCCCCCTGCAGGTGGTGCATGCATTTGCCTATCGGCCCACTCTGCCTGGCCCACCTCCAAAAATGCTAACTCTCAGATTTCTGATTTATTTTACTGGGTGGAGCTTTTCTGAATTGTGAAACATGAAGGAAGAAGGGGAGGTTTTGATGGTGATGGGCAGAAGCATGATGTCCAATTCATTCAAGGCTTTCTGAGTTCTCCTTGGAACAGCTAAGTGGAGAGGCCTGATTGCCAATGGAAGATGCAGTAGGATGCTCAAGATGGAGACGAAGGTTTGGAAGCCGTCGGCCATTTATTATCACTGAAATCATGGGAGTGAATTCAATTGCTCAGGGGATGTAGACTGGAAGGATAAGCAGGCCTAGGAGAGATCATCGTGAAGAGGAGAAGAGTTTGCAAAGGTGATAGAGACAGAGGTGGATGATCCAGAAGGTGTGATTGCAGAGAATCCAAAGTTGCATCATATTCCAAGAAGAATATGTGGCCAAAAGAGTCTAATAGCTCCCAGCAGTCAAGCAAAAGACAAACTGAGAAATGTGCAATTGACTTAATGACAAGGTCATTTTTGACCCTGGAGAGAACCCAGTTCATGGATTAATCAGGGTAGAGGCCAGCTTGTGCTTATGTATGAAGTGAGTGGACAATAAGTGGAGACAGCAAGTGTAGATAACCCTTTCAAGATATCTTCTGTGCAGAAAAGGCAAGAGTGCAGTGGCAAGGACTATGGGCATTTGAGGCAGACAGCCTGGGTTCAATTACCAGCTCGGCTAATGTTTAACTACATGATCTTGGGCATGTGACTTACCCTCTTTATATCTATATGAAACAATGGGAATTAAGATTATTGCCTATTTCATGGGACTGAATGGAATAACGTTGGTCAAGTACTTAGCACAATGCCTGGCACTTGGTAAGAAGAGTGCAATAAAATTTCATTACTATTAATTTAAGTGATAGATGCGTGTGTTAAAAATTCAAATGAGAATCAAAATGTTAACAGTGAATTGTGAGTCTCCATCCCATCCCTGTGCCTTGGTTCCTGTCCCAGGTTCTGTGTGGCCTTCCAGAGATCCTCTGAGGGTTGAGGAGAGTGGGACTTCACTGGAAATACCTGTGAAGAGAAAGGGAGAAAGAGCAAGCTAGGAGACAATAAGATGCAAAGGCATCAGGGGAATGAAAGTAACTGGCTTCCCGGGGACTCCAGTAGCCAGGCTGCTTAAAGAGGCAAGACACAAACTGGAGAGTCTGGGAGTTAAGGACAGAGCTTGAGAAACATCTCCTCAGTAAGGGTGGAGATTTGTTGCATCAGTGGCCCCAGTAAATGGCCTGCTTGTTCCCATGCTCTTTGCACTGACTTGGAAGCTCTTCCCATCGAGAGGTGAAGTCTAGTTCCAATACCTTGAATCTGCATTGGCCTTGACTTGTTCTGGCCAACAGGGTGTGGTGGGAATGGCACTGTGCCAGTTCTTCTTGATGTAAGGCATCAAGAAGCCTTACATGCTCACTCTTTCTTCACTCACCCCAACCCTTTCCTTTGTCATGTAAACCAGCCTGGACTAGCTTGATGGAGTGATGAGGCCCATGGAGGAAGCCAAGGCTCTCTACCAGACAAGCAACCAATCCCCAGAAGCAGATCTGCCCTTGTGACCTGCAGCTACCCACAGATGCATAAGGGTGCCCAGCAGAGACCAAAAGAACCACCTTGGCTGAGCCCAGCCCATGTTGCTGCCCCACAGAATGATGAGATAAATGTTTGTTGTTTTAAGCTCTTAAGTGTTGGGGTGACTTGTTATGCAGCAGTTGCTAGCTGATGCAGCAAGTTGTGCATTGCATTTGCCATCTCACACATTAGAGTTATCCCATCTCTACAATCACTGTGGGACCTGGGAGGTGGAATTCAACAGTTCTAAATCAAAAAATGTTTAAAATTACTGAAAATTTGGATGGAGGAAGAAAAGGGAAAGAAAAAGCACTTTGCACGATATATAATATCTACAAGATATGTTTACACGTGACAGAACAATCAAATTAATCAAATAGGATGTACTCAGTGCTATAACTAGAAATCATAAATATCCTTAATGTTGGTATGGCAGGGTTTATTGACTCCATTATTCTACCTTGTTGAAGTGTGTAGAAAAATTTTCCCCAAATCGTTTCCACCTTGGCACCCTTTAGCAATTTTTCCATGAAGTCTTAAATTCTTTCTGCATAGGAGATTTGGGGCCATTAACGAGCATGGTTGAGAAAGGAACTATGGTCATTAGAGGCCCCCAGACAGCTAGGTATTAAATGTGAATATAAGCTCTTAAACAATGTGTGTGGGTGCAGAAAAGCTCATTTTCTCCCGTTGAATGCTCCTGAGAGTCGACTTGGCCATCAATTTCTTCTTCCATGAGGACACAGTTGTAGATGTCATTGGAAGGGCAGGTGTGGCAGTCAAAGGCACTCTCCTGCCTTTCTTTGACCACTAAAGGTCATGTGGGAAAAACCAAACAGAACATTTTGAATATTTTTAGTGTAGTTCCTGCAGAAATTGCATCAATGGGAATCAAAATAGGGAAGTAAATTAACAGGTGCCCATGCCAATAATGCCCTTATCATCCTATGGGGTCAGCACTAGCATGAATTTTACAGCTGAGGAAACTGCACAGCAAAGAAGTTCCTTTGCTTGCCAATTGCCCTACGAGGAAATGGCAGAACAAGTCTGTGAACCCGATCCGTCCACCTCCCATACTTTCTCCATTGTAGGGCGACGTTATTGTGTGGGAAGTGTCCATTTTCTATTTAAAGAAAGCTTTCAAAATAAATGAAGTTTAAAACATGGGTTGATTTAAAGAAAGGTATTACATAAATAACAGAGCTTGTGGGTCATAGATGTGACAAAGCCATCATGTAAGTAGCGTGGCCTTGCCGAGGCTGGAGACACACAGGGAGGAGCCCAGGAGGGAGAGCTGGGTGTGGCCCCCACTCTGCCTGTGACCTGCCTACAGCCCCTCCTGGCTGAGGTGCCCTCCACATCAACATGATTTTTCACTTCTGGGCTTCAGCTTCCTGTGGGTCAAGATAAAGCTTGGCCCAGATGGTCTCCAAGGGTCCTCCCAGCTCTTAGAAACAGTCTTGCTGTGAACAGCTATTTTTTGCTCTGTATTTAAAAGCACAAGGGCCAGGCCTATTGGGAAAGGCCATTAAGTACAATCAAATCTACCAAGATGAAAATATAGGTTCCCGCCCACATGCCATCTTCTTTAAATGCATTTGGCAAGTCCAGAATGTCAGCAATTAGTAACCGGGCCCAAGCACGGTAATAAGATTTGGACTCACCAGTGAAGGAGAAATTCTTCCCCTGACTAATCTGGTTAGTGAAGCAGTTCAAAGTTGCACACGCTGAAAAATGTTCCACTAAGGTCATTATAAGTACAAATAAAGTAGACTCTGCTCGCAAATAAAAGTGGTGGGTCACACATGTGTATCTTCCTACGTTATTTTTTGAAAAAAGTTTTTTTAGACTTCTTTTGAAATAGATGCCCTTGACCTCATACTAAAGTTTCACCATCAAAGGCAAATGAGGTGGTAGTTATGTTTAGGTGGGGAAAGTCCAGTGAAGGGTTGGGTAACTGCAGAAACTGCTACATATGTATAGATATTTCCAGGTAATTTAGGCAAGGTTGTTGGGGAGGGAAGCAAACTACACAGCCTTTCTAAACAACAGCATTTGTGTGTGTGTGTGTGTGTGTGTGTGTGTGTGTGTGTGTTGGGCGGGGGTGGGTGGGTGTTCTGTTTTTTAATTGACTACTTTGAGTCAGAGAAGCTACACGGTGTGTACTGGTTAAGGGTACTGACCCTAGGAGCTGAAACACTTCTTGGACTTACAAGCTCTGTGGCCTGGAACAAGTTACTTAGCCTTTTTGCACCTCAGTTTCCTCATCAGTAAAATGGAGGTAATAAGAGTATATAATTCACATAATTATCGTGAAGGTTAAATGAATGAACATATTAAAGTGCTTACAGCAATACTTGCCATAGAGTAAATACTTTATGTGTGAACTATATTCTTATCTGTGAAACAGTGTCACCTCTCCCTCTAAACTGCTTTGGAAACACCACGTACCTGATAACACGTATCTTACAAAGCCAAGCTACCTTATGCAATGCTAAGTGCACATTCCCTTGTGTATTAAGCAAAACTGGAAAGCCTTGGGGGGAACTTTATAGCTGGAAGGTGTCCGAGACATCATCTAGTCTTAAAGTGTCATTTTGTAGACAAAGCAATTGAGACAAGAGAGGTGAGGTGATTTGTCCAGAGTTATGGAGCAACTTGTAACCTGGCAGCCAAATCCAGATGAGAACAAGGGTACTATTTACATCACCGCCATTCATTCCCAATGGATTCTTAGTGTTTCAGGTATGAAAAGAAATTAGAAACCAGGAATTAGGATGCTTGGGATCTCTCACTCACACTCTGCCACAAGCCTCTCTCCTAGCCTTCAAATCTGTAGCAGGTCTATGTGAACATTTGTTTTCTTTGTTTTTGAAACACTAGGCAATGCTCTTTCTTTTCTAACCACAGTTGTACTTCCTTTTAGTGAACTCTACATCGCTGCATGTTCCTGGGGCAACTGTCAATCAAAGTGACTCCCTCAGCCTAGGGCTGGCCCAGGGCCTGAGAAGGCCGACAGGACTCCCTCTCACATGGACTGCTGAGCAGAGCACTGTGAACTGAGGGTACAGGCAGCGCTCCCCCATTCTAATGTGTGTGCCAGGAGAGGTGGCCAGGTGCTCCTGCTGAGGGAGGCCTGCTGCATGTCCTAAACCCTGAGCTATTGTTTCTGGGCCTGGTCTTGCAGTCCTGTTTACTCTATGAGCTACACAAAAGGCCTACAACAAAGTCCCTTTTGGCTTAAGTTAGCCAGCTTTGGTTCCGTCACTTAACCTATTGACTTAGCCGTTGTGAAAGTTCCTGGCAGGTAGAAAGATGGCGGGAGGCAGTGGACAATGTTAGTGGAGGGGCCTGCCGAAGAGGTGTCTGGGAGAAGAGAAGGCCTGAACTGTGAATTGAATAAAACTAAGGGACCTTTTTGGACCAGCAAAAACAAGGCTCAGCAGCAGGAAGAAGGGGAAATAGGGATTCCATAAGCCAAGCAGTTGGCACATTGAAGTCCCTAAGGGGGCAAGGGATGTCAAAGAAACAGGACAAGATGTTGCTCTGTACTTGAGGATTTGGAAACTGAAAAAATGAGAAACCGAAAGAGGAAAACATCCAAGGACTCAGTCAGGACTCCACCAATGGTCACAGCAAAACAGTACTTTACAGGCACCCCTTAAAAGTGAAACAAAAATTGTTTCCAGGACACTCTGGACAACAGAAGTCAGTATTCATTTACCGTTTCGTTCATTCATTCAGCTTCTATGCATCTGCTAAGCACCTGCCATAGGCTGGACATCGAGCTAGATGCGGAGATCACACCACCGTCTCTCCCCACACATTATTTGTCATCCAACAAGGAAGAGGGATGAGAAGACAAGATCATCACAGCCAGAGAAGCAGGTGAGTGGGTGTGGAGGGGACACAAAGGTAAAGCAATGGTTCCCACAGGAAGCCAAGTGGTGGGAGCATCCAGCTCCAACAGCCGGAGGAGAAGCTTGCGAGGACTCCAGGAGAGCTGCCTGCATGTGCGCAGCAACCTCGCTTTCCTTTAACTCTGGCTCTTGTCTAATTCTGGGCTTTAGTGTCAGAGAAAGGAGCATAGGGGGCCAAGTTGGGCTTTGTTCTGGTTCCTAACAGCTTGCAGGTTTGACAGCCAGGCCCCCGAGGGATATGTGCAAAACCTTCCTACCAACGTGTGGGCCCCAGACCAGCAGCATAGACCTCTCCTGGGAGCTTGTTAGAAATATAGAATTCAGGCCGCATCCAAGACCCACTATATCACAGTCTGCATTTTAACAAGGTTCCCGGTGACCTGTAAGCAGGTTAACAATTGAGAGCAACAGTGTGATAATTGATGCTAGTGAAAAAGTGCTTTACCAGTTAAACCCTTAGCGAAGTACTGAGATATTCATTTAAGGGTAGGTTATTTGGAAAGACTCAGGTCAGGAACTGGGGGCAATGGTGCAGGGGTTGGGGAGGGCAAGAAGACTGAGTAGGACAGGTTCCTTTGGGTTGGATATACCATAGAGTTACCTGATAAAATACAGAATGCTCAGTTAAATGTGAATTTCAAATATGCAATCAATAACCTTTTAGTATAAGTGTGTCCCAAATGTTGCATAGGGCATACTTATTATTACTATTATTTTTTTGAGACAGAATCTTGCTCTGCTGACCAGGCTGTAGTGCAGTGGTACGATCTCGGCTCACTGCAGCCTCCACCTCCTGGGTCCCAGCGATTGTGCTGCCTCAGCCTCCCAAGTAGCTGGGATTACAGGTGTGTGCCACCACGCCTGGCTAATTTTTGTATTTTTAGTAGAGACAGGGTTTCACCATGTTGGCCAGGCTGGTCTCAAACTCCTGACCTCAGGAGATCTGCCCACCTCAGCCTCCCAAAGTGCTGGGATTACAGGCACGAGCCACCACGCCCAGACAGACATACTTATACTAAAAAAGTTACTCATTATTTTTCTGAAATTCACATTTAACTGAGGATCCTGGCAACCTTAGTTTACCAGGATGTAGTTGTTATCTCACAACATTTAAAAGGGCTTGAAGCTATTAAAATAAAGGGATTAATGAAGAATAACTGAAAGAATTGAATGGATGATTTAAATTTAGGCATGCCAAGCAAATTAACTTGGGGACATGTGTATAATTTTTTCCAATATTTTCAATGTGGATATGAATCTAGTTGAATCACTAATATCTCCCCACAAAAGAGTAACAACCAGAGGTGGCAAGTGGTTAAGTAAATGGTATTGGAAAAATAAAGCCAAATCTCTACCTAACACCATATGGATTAAAGACCTAAAAGTGAAAGATAAACTTGAAAAGTTAATAGAGGAGAATGTAGGAGAATATCTTAGTTACTCAGGTGAAGGGAAGAACTTCTTAAATTAAAATTTAAAAACACTTACCATCCAGCAATCTCATCCCTGGGTGTATGTCCTAGATAATTTAAATCCAAAGGTATGTCAAAGAGATATCTGCATTCTTGTCTTCATTTCAGCATTATTTACAATAGCCGAAAAATGGAAGCAACCTAAGTACCCATCAGCGAATGAATGGATAAGGAAAATGTGGTATGTACATACACACAATGGAGTACTATACAGCCTTAAAAAGGAAGGAAATCTTGTCATGTGTGACAACGTGGATGGAACTGAAGGATATTGCACTAAATGAAATAAGCCAGACACAGGAAGACAAATACTATATAATCTCCCTTATTTGTGGAATCTAAATAAGTCGATCTCATAGAAACCGAGAGCAGAATGGTGGTTGCCAGGGGATGGGGAGAGGGAGTAATAGGGAAAGGGAAGATGTTGATCAGAGGGTACAAAGTTTCAGTTAGGCTGGAGGAATACGTTTTAGTGATCTATTGCACTGCACAGTGACCATAGTTAGTAGTAATGCATTGTATATTTCAAATTTCCTAAAAAACAGATTTTTATCATCAAAAAAAATAAGTTGGTGAGGTGATAGATATATTAAGTAGTTTGACTTAATCTTTCTAAAGTGTGTACATAGATCAAAACATCACATTGTGCCCCATAAATAACACAATTATTGGCTGGGCATGGTGGTGCACGCCTGTAATCCCAGCACTTTGGGTAGCTGAGGCGGGCTAATCACTTGAAGTCAGGAGTTCAAGAGGAGCCTGGGCAACATGGTGAAACCCTGTGTCTACTAAAAATACAAAAACTAAATGGGTATGGTGGCACGCACCTATAGTCCCAGCTACTCAGGAGGCTAAGGCAGGAGAATCGCTGGAACCCAGGAGGCGGAGGCTGCAGTGAGCTGAGATTGCACCACTGCACTCCAGCCTGGGTGACAGAACAAGACTCCATCTCAAAAAAACAAAACACGCAATTATTATTTGTCAGTTAAAAATAAATTTAAAACAAATTTAAAAACAAAACCATAAGGCAAATAAACAAATTTGGTTACATAAAAATCAAGAATGTCCTTTCTACAAAGGACACCATGGGCATGGGAGAAGACAAAGAAGAGGTGAAAATATTTGCCAAATACAAATGGAAATTGATTTGTAAAGTGTATAAGGAACACTTGAAAATCAACAAGAAGGAAGAACAACAAGAAGGAATAATTAGAATAGCTGTCCTAACAGAAAAAAAAAAAAAGCCAAATGCAGTGGCTCACACCTGTAATCCCAGCACTTTGGGAGTACGAGGCAGGCAGATCACCTGAGGTCAGGAGTTTGAGACCAGCCTGACCAACAATGGCCAACATGGTGAAACCCCGTCTCTACTAAAAAGACAAAAATGAGCCAGGCGTGGTGGCGGGCACCTGTAATCCCAGCTACTCAGGAGGCTGAGGCAAGAGGCTGAGGCAGGAGAATCTCTTGAACATGGGAGGTGGAGGTTTCAGTGAGCTGAGATTGCACGACTGCGCTCCAGCCTAGGCAACAAAGACTCCATCTCAAAAAAAAAAAAAAGACAAAGGATATGAATAGGGAATTGACAGAAACAGAATCTCAAAAAGCCAATATGCTCATTGAAGAGAGGCTCAAAATCATTAGCAGTCAGAGAAAGGCACAGTTAAATAACACGGGCACATTGTAGCAGACTATGCTAGGCTGCACTGGATTGGGGCATGGATAGCTCGGCAGTGGGAGGGCTGGCAGGTGGGCACTGTGGGGGAGGTCCTGCCTCTCTGGGGGGTGGGCAGCCACGGCTCAGTGGAGGTCAGCGCACGCACCCCATGGCTGGGGTCTCCCTTTCCAGCTCACACAGGTCCAGAGGGTCAGCACATTCTTTGTGGTTGGATGTCCATGTGTCCTGAACGTCCATCTCCGTGGGAGTGGAAGGTATGATATGTTAGACACACCATGGAAAGTCACGCAGAATTGGAAGCAAAGGTCAGAGGTATCCAAAACAATAGGATGGATGTTATATACAGGGTGCCGGGGGACAGAGCGAAACACAGAATGAAATCTACAACACAGTCTACTTACATGTATTTAAAAACGTAGTCATCCCAAGCAAAACATATTTTATGAAAAACATGAACTATAAACAGAATAGATGGGTTGAATTTGCTTGGAAGGAGCATGGGAGAGGGATACAGAAAATGATAAGTAAAAAATAGCAACAACACTAAATAATAAAAGGATAATAAAAATTAAAGTACTAAGTAAATAGTAGACAATAAAATAGTAAGTAAATAAGAAGGAAGAAAAATAGAAATAGAATAAAAGAAGAAAACAACCATCCCTGAGCCAACCACATGAAGTGGCACAAAATTAGGAGGGTAATTGGCTCAGCCCTCTGCACCTGAAGTCCAAGAGTAAACATGTGAATATGTAAATAAGCAGCCAGGCATGGTGGTGCACACCTGTAATCCCAGTACTTTGGGAGGCCAAGGTGGGCAGATCACCTGAGGTTGGGAGTTCGAGATCAGCCTGACCAACATGGAGAAACCCCGTCTCTACTAAAAATACAAAATTAGCTGGGCATGGTGCCACATGCCTGTAATCCCAGCTACTCGGGAGGCTGAGGCAGGAGAATAGCTTGAACCCAGGAGGCAGAGGTTGTGGTGAGCCCAGATTGAGCCATTGCACTCCAGCCTCGGCAACAAGAGCAAAACTCCGTCTCAAAAAAAAAAAAAAAAAAAAAAATTAGCCAGGCATGGTGGCAGGCACCTGTAATCTCAGTTACTCCGGAGGCTGAGGCAGGAGAATTGCTTGAATCCAGCAGAGGTTGCAGTGAGCTGAGATCGCACCATTGCACTCCAGTCTGGACAACAGAGGAGACTCCATCTCCATAAATAAGTAAGCAACCACAGGGGTCTCAAGCCACTGTCCTCACACCTTTGGGGGCTTACCTTAAGGTTCTCACTTCCTAGTGCTCAGCTCTGCTCTGGAGTTCCAGCTCTGTTGCCCATGGCTGCTATTGTCATTTGCATTCCCAGTCTCTGTGCAGTTTGCATATCTATGCCTTGCTTCTACTGCTGAGAGGTGGTTCTCTCCTTGGTCCTCTCAGGCAGGCAATCCAATAACTCACAGGGTGCTGAGCCCAATAACTCACAGGGTGCTGAGCCCATTGCTCAGCCCAGCCCCACTCTCTGTGACTCCTGCATCTGTGCTGTTTGCAGTCTGGGTATTAACCAATGGGATTTGACCAGAGAAGGAGAGCACCACAAAACTCTCCCCCTTCCCTGACATTTTCCTGCCACCTTGGATGGGGAAGGCAGTATCTGAATCTGTATTTGAAGATACTCCTCAGGTGTCTCTTAGGAACTTCACAGGTTGAAAACACTGAGGCTCAAAAGTAAAGAAATAAAAATTCATAAGATATAGGTTGAACATCTCTAATCCAAAAATCCAAAATTCAAAACTTTTTGAGTTCTATCATGATGCTGCAGATTGTTGATATGGGTGGTTGAGAAAGTAACCCGTTTGCTTTCTGATGGTTCAAGGCATTCATGCTTTGCTTCATGCACAAAATTATTTTAACTATTGGCCAGACATGGTGGCTTACGCCTGTAATCCCAGCACTTTGGGAGGCCGAGGCAGACTGATCACTTGAGGCCAGGGGTTCAAGACCAGCCTGGCCAACATGGTGAAATCCCATCTCTACTAAAAATACCAAAATGAGCGGGGCATGGTGGCACGCACCTGTAGTCCCAGCTGTAGTCCCAGCTTTGCAGTGAGCCAAGATCACACCAATGCACTCCAGCCTGGGTGACAGAGACTTCCTCTCAAAAAAAAAAAAAATTCAAATATTGTATAAAATCACCTTCAGGCTATGTGTATGAAGTGTAAATGAAACATAAATGAATTTCATGTTTGAAAAATAACTAGTTAGAGGATATTAAGGGAGAGAAAATCTCCAATACAACAAAGAAGATAAAATATTTAGGAACAAACTTAACAAGAAATATGCAAAACCCGTATTAAACCCCCCTGAAAGACACAGAAAAAGATATGAACAAATGGAAAGACTTTCTTTATTCTTGGATAGGATGACAACATCAGAAAGATGCCAGTCCTCTTTCATTTATAAGTGTTAAACAATCCCAATAAAAATAGCAACAAACTCCTTTGTGGAGCTAGATAATTGATACTAAAGCTCTTATTTTAAAAATGCAAGAAGAGCCTTTAATGTCTGGTAGGCAAGAATGCCTTACCAGACATGAAAGCATACGTTTTAAACAGTGTGCTACTGGCACATAAATAGACAAACAGACTAGTGAAATAGAATAGAAAGTCTAAAAATAAACCCACCCTCATATAGAAATTTAGTATTTGATGAAGGTGGCATCTCAAATCAACTGAGACAAAGGTGGATTTTTAAACAAATAACCCCAGACAGCTGGTAAGCTTTTTGGAAAAAGGTCCATCTTCATATCTTCCTCACACATGAACAAATTTCAAATGGATCAGAGCTCTAGATATAAAAAAAGGAAACTAGGCCGGGTGTGGTGGCTCACACCTATAATCCCAGCACCTTGGGAGGCCACGGCAGGAGAAACCCTTGAGGCCAGGAGTTTGAGACCAGCCTGGGCATCATAACAAGACAAAAAACATTTAAAAATTAGCTGGGTGTGGTTATGTGCACCGGTAGTCTTAGCTACTGAGGAGGCTGAGGCAGGAGGATTGCTCGAGCCCAGGAGTTTGAGGCTGCAGTGAGCTATTATCTCACCTTTGGACTCTAGCCTGGGTGACAGAGCGAGACGCTGTCTCTCTCTTTTTTTTTTTTTTTTTTGAGATGGAGTCTCACTCTGTCACCCAGGCTGGAGTGCAATGGCGTGATCTTGGCTCACTGCAACCTCCACCTCCTGGGTTCAAGCAATTCTCCTGCCTCAGCCTCCCCAGTAGCTGGGATTACAGGTGCCCACCAGCATACCTGGCTAATTTTTTGTATTTTTAGTAGAGACGGGGTTTCACCATGTTCACCAGGCTAGTCTTGAACTCTTGACCTCAAGTGATCCGTCCGCCTCTGCCTCCCAAAGTGCTGGGATTATAGGCATCAGCCACCGCGCCCAGCCAACCCTGTCTCTTAAAAAAAAGAAGAAAAGAAAAGGAAACCAAGCAACTACTAGAAAACCATAACAAATAACTCTCCAGTCTCTCTAGACTCTCAGATGCTGGGATTTAAATAATTATTAGCAAAGCAACTTAAGGCAGAGTGTCCCCCTAAGAACAAATCCATTCTTTATGGTTTTCAAACCATCCCTGGCTCACTTAGCTGTGCAGCTTTGGACAAAACTGTGATTTCCATGACGTATTAAAGCCATATTTGTGGCAGGGATCGCCAAGCTTCTTCCCCATGGCCGTTCTGCTAGACTACATTTTCCAGACACCCTTGTAGCCTCTTGGGCTTGTGAGGCTGACTTCTGGCCAATGGAGCGTGGAGGGAAGTGCTATGTACTGTGACCAGGCCTGACCTAGAAAACCTCTCTCTCTGTGTTGTCGCTTGTCTACCAACTAGATGAAGAGTGGAGGATTCCTAGATGGTGTGGAGCTGCACAATGGAAAGAGCCTGGGTCCTTGAATGACTACAGACTACATGGAGCAGAGTAACCCCTGCCACCACCAACAATTTGCATTGGTCTGTGAAGCAAATAAGAGATAACCTCTTAGTTGGGTTAAACCAATGAGATTTGGATTTGTCTATGACGGCAGCTAGCATTACTTGCCCTGACTAATATGGTATTTGAACTATTGCTACTGCAGCAGAAAACTCTTTCAATCCTTCAGAATCTTTTAGTTTTCTTCTGCCTCAGGATATAATGTGATATATCAACACAAGAACATGCAAATTTTCAGCCGAGTAGAGGGATGTGTACCAATCCACATCTGGGCTACTGCCTGACAGTGCTGGGAGGACCATAAGAAGAGAGGTCTGGGAGGACCTGGGCATGTGACAAAGAACAAAATGCTGGAAAAGACAAAATTGTGGCACCAAAAGCAGTTCACAAAGACCAAGTTCAAAAATGTTGGAAACAACATGTAGTTCTACCTCTAAGTTAAAGCTCTCTGTGTTTATTTGGAGATGAAACCAAAACCTAGGGAGCACTGTGACAGGTGTGAAAAGGCTGCTGTATTGAAGTAGCACAACCAAGTCAGATTATGAAGAGATGGCAGCCTACATAGGAAGGGAGCCAATTAGTCAGGCAAAGCTGGTATGGAGGGTAGTAACATTTAGAATTAATTTCTCTTCTTTCATGGCCGGGCACAGTAGCTCACGTCTGTAATCCCAGCACTTTGGGATGCCGAGGCAGGCGGATCACCTGAGGTTGGGAGTTGGAGACCAGCCTGACCAACACAGAGAAACCCCGTATCTACTAAAAATACAAAATTAGGCAGGCGTGGTGGCACATGCCTGTAATCCCAGCTACTGGGGAGGCTGAGGCAGGAGAATCGCTTGAACCCAGGAGGTGGAGGCTGTGGTGAGCCGAGATCACGCCATTGTACTTCAGCCTGGGCAACAGGAGTGAAACTCTGTCTCAAAAAAAGAAGAAAAATTTCCCTTCTTTTCTTTCCTTCCTTCTTTCCCTCCCTCCTTCCTTCCTTCTTTCTTTCTTTTTTTTGAGAGCGACCCTTGCTCTGTCATCCAGGCTAGACTGCAATGGTGCGACCTTGGCTCACTGCAACCTCCGCCTCCCAAGTTCAAGTGATTCTCCTGCCTCAGCCTCCTGAGTAGCTGGGATTACAGGCACCCACCATCATGCCTGGCTAATTTTTTGTGTTCTTAGTAGAGACAGGGTTTTGCCATGTTGGTCAGGCTGGTCTTGATCTCTTGACCTCGTGATCCACCCACTTCAGCCTTCCAAAGTGTTGGCATTACAGGCGTGAGCCACTGAGCCTGGCCTATTTATATACATCTTTATTATGTATTATATCTGTATTTATTGGCTTGCTTATTGTTTAGAATGGCACTGTCTGATGTGGTAGCCACTAGCCATTGATGGCTATGAGCACCTGAAGTATGACTTGTTTGAAATGAGATGTGCTGTGTCAAATACACACTGGATTTTGAAGACTTAGCCTAAAAAAAGAATGTAAAATATCTTAATCATTTTCATATTGATTGTATGTTGAAATGAGAATGCTTTGGATATATTGGATTAACCACAATTTATTATTAAAATTAATTTCATTTGTTTCTTTTTACTTTGTTAATGTGTCTACTAGAATTTTTGTTGTTGTTGTTTTTTGAGACAGGGTCTTGCTCTGTCACCCATGCTGGAGTGCAGTGACACAATCACAGCTCACTGCAGCATGGACCTCCCAGGCTCAAGCGCTCTTCCCACCTCAGTTTCCCAAGTAGCTGGGACTATAGGCACATGCCACCACACCTGGCTAATTTTTAATTTTATAGAGATAGGGTCTTGCTATGTTGTCTAGTCCTACTAGAAAATTTTAGAATCCCATGTGGCTTGCATTTGTGATTCCCACTCTATTTCCACTGGACAGTGCTGATGTAGGATGGATGTTCCTAGAGAACAGAGACTCTGTCTGTCTTGTCCTCAGCATCTAGAAGAGCACCTGGTGCAGAGTAGAGGTTTAATAAATATCTGTTGAATGGGACTCTGTGTCTGTTGAAAACTTGGCAGTATGCACTCTCTCTCCTCTTCTCTCTCTCTCTCTCTCCGTATGTAACAACAGTATCATTGTATCAATGATATCCTTGTCCCCTGATATCACTGTTACATAAGAAACTGACAGCCTTCCTTGTCTGCTTACTTAAGACTGTCCTGATTTAGTCCCTTTTGAAAAACATATCTTTGCCACTATCTTCTGAAAATAACCTTAATTTTTTTTTTTTAGATGGAGTCTCGCTCTGTCACCCAGGCTGCAGTGCAGTGGCACGATCTTGGCTCACTGCGACCTCCGCCTCCTGGGTTCAAGCAATTCTCTGCCTCAGCCTGCCGAGTAGCTGGGATTACATGCGCCTGCCACCACGCCTGGCTAATTTTTGTATTTTTAGTAGAGACAGGGTTTCACCATCTTGGCCAGGCTGGTCTTGAACTCCTGATCTCGTGATCCACCAGCCTTGGCCTCCCAAAGTGCTGGGATTACAGGCGTGAGCCACCGCACCCAGCCAATCTTAATTTTTGTCCAAAGTATTTAAGGCATTCAAAATGATCCATCTTATGGACAAATTAGTTAATCTAATTAACCTGAGGGGGTGCTTGAAAGAAATCAGGGAAACAAAACAAAAATCTTGAACCATAAGGGGAGACAGCATGTGTTGATGGCAAGAGCAGAGGCCTGGGGGTCAGCCTGGTGCCACATGCTTGACAGAGGGAAGGAGGAGGAGTGAAGACAGCAGGGCGACAAGCACTCAAAACAAGCCTTGCTTTTCCAATAGCCCAGGCATGGCCCACTCAAGTGATCACCTGAGGCAGCAAAGGCATCTACACAAGAAGACACAATCATGCATTCACTCTGCAGATCCATCCAGTGCCTCCCACGTGCCAGGTGTTGGGGATACAGCGAGAATGAACAGGCGCCCACTCTTATTGAAGCTTATGTATTAGCTCAAGGAGACAGAAAATTAAGCAAAAAGCACATAAATGGATAATATAGGCATTCTATGGACTTTAGTAATGCATGCCCAGAGAAGGGAATCCGTGTTCTCAGTTAATTTTTAAAATCCTCAGTTAGAGGGATGAGCTAGACAGTGGATTTTTTTCTGAGAATAATTTCAGGATATTTACAAATTAAGGATATTTAAGATAAATCTCCATAAAAATAAAATCCATGCTCAACATGAGAACAGAGAGGCCATCTACAGGAGTGTTTAAAATGGGGCAGATTCAGTCCCAGAGGGTTTCCAGATGAGTTCTGAGACACATCCAGCAGCGTGCCATGGGCATGGAAGGGTTCTAAGACTTGCATACAAGTTGTGTCAAAACCTAGAAAATGCTAGAATTATATTTCTAGACAGGGAAAATTAATTTTGAATAACAATATTAGTGTTAGTACAAAATTAGTATAAAATGCACCTGCAGACTTGCTGGAGTTGGTGTGATATCTGACACAGAATCAAAGCAAAGCATGACACTCACTGGATCAGAACACTCTAGCCTCAGAAGCCCTTGAACTCTCCAGCGTTCCAGGGCAGGAAATAGCGCTCATCTCTTTGTTAGCTGTGAGCACGCCTGAGCATTTTCTGGAAACTGCTAGTACTGCAGTCCAGATTGCCTGCTCTGAGCTGAAAGAAGACAGAGAGAGACTGAGAAAAGCCTTTGATTTAAAATCCTGCAGTCGCTGCAATACCAGAGCGGGTGGGTCTATGGCAGGATTGTTTTGTTAAGGAGACCTGACAAATCTGCAAAGCAGGTTTTCACGCAATGTATAATGAATCCCCTGGCTTATGTATTATGTAATAGTAGATTTGTGCTCGTTGAGTTTCTGTAGGAGGAATGGGTGTGCTATTCACAAGTGTTGTCTTAGCAAAGAAGGAAACACTTTTTAAAAGAATGAGGATCTGTATGGGTACACATGTAATTATATCATCTGTGTTCATTCATCCAGTCACCAAAGATTTCCTAGTGCCTTTTACAAAGTTAGTGCTGGGGATTCAAACCTGCAGGAAATTAGGTCCCTGATTCTAAGGAAACTTCAGTCTAGTTTGAGAGATCAACACAGCAGCGAATAATTAGGGCACCACAGGGTAAATGCTAAGAGAGCTACAGACAGTTTCATATAGGCTCAAAGAGGAGGAAGTAATGAATCCTGCCTGGCAAGGGATAGGAGGTAGGGAAGGCTCCAGGAGGAGTGGGTATCTGGGTGGAGCGTGGAAGGTTGAGCAGGAGTTTACCAGGCAGAGGAAGAGAGGGGAAGAGAGGAAATGGCCTATGCAAGGCTCATCAGCAAAAGCATGTGTGGAGGTGCCAGCTGTGCTTAGAATGGCAGTGTAAGTGGACTAGGACAGTTGGGAGAAGATGAAGTTGATTTGGCCTGGGGTATTAGTTTGGACATGGGTTCAGCTGTCCTAAACAATGTTCCCAAATCAGAGTGGCTTTAGAAAGAAAGATGTGTATTTCTCTTACATAATAGTATGGGCATGAGCAGTTCAGGGCTGGTAAGAGGCTTTTCAGCGAGAAACCCCAGCTCCTTCAGCCATCCCAGGACACGGCCCCATCCACATGGTCCCATGTGGGGCTCACTCACCCTTGCACATCTGTGTTCCACCCAGCCATGTCCCTAGTCACAAGGCATTCCCTATTCACCTCCACCATTGCTATATTTACAATACAGTCTTCACCTCGTCCACCTTCTATGCTCCAGATGAAAGGGGGAGAGGGAGGACAGGCCTCTTTCCTCTAAGGATGTAGCTGGGAATTGTACATGTGGCTCACATGGTGTGCCGACATGATGGAGCCTGGCTATAAGGAAGGCTGGGAAATGTAGTTCTTATTCTGGGCAGCCATATGGGCAGCCATCTGCCCAGCTAAAAATGGGAGGTCCTATTTCCATGTGAAAGAAAGGGAGCTGGGATGCCAAGAGGCCATGAGCAGCCCCGCCTTTTCGTGCCTTTGAGTGCTCTATTAGTGATCTCTAGAATGCCTTTGGGAAAGCCAACATAACGTGCTTCAATTTTCTGCTTTATTTATTCTGACATGCTGACTTGTTAGTGACAGTCTGATTTCTCAAAACTAGAATTTTCAGGATTTAAGAGGTTACTCGATGTCAGCAAGTAATAAATGAGCGCTGACCCAAACATCTGCTTTGGAAACAGGAGCTCTGACATGGTTTTAAAGACACTTTCCACCATGTCTGGCCAGTGGAGGTTTTTAGAGTCCCAGGGTATTCCCATTGCCAAAGTTTACAGAAACAAGTCAGGCACCATTTCCACTGCCCCAGACTAAGGAGATGGGAACAGACTTCTCGTTAGGGTAGGGCAGGGAAATGACACAGATCATGCGTCTGACTCCCAGTATACCTCTTAGGGTGCCACCTAATCTTTCTCAGCATCAACTACCTCATCTGTAAAATGGGGATAAGGATGACTCTCAGGTTGACAGAATTAAGTGAGATATTATATGTGACCTGTAGAGAAAGTCCAACAGACTTTGGGAGGCTGAGGCGGGCGGATCACAAGGTCGGGGATCGAGACCATCCTGGCTAGCATGGTGAAACCCCATCTCCACTGAAAATACAAAAAATTAGCTGGGCGTGGTGGTGGGTGCCTGTAGCCCCAGCTACTCGGGAGGCTGAGGCAGGAGAATGGTGTGAACCTGGGAGGCAGAGCTTGCACTGAGCCAAGATCGCACCACTGCACTCAAGCCTGGGTGGCAGAGCGAGATTCCATCTCCAAAAAAAAAAAAAAGAGAAAGCCCAACAGATATTTGCTTTTCTTCTATTTTGACTGTCAGTTACTATGTGCACAGCACTTGGATAGAAACTACAATGCAAGAAAGGATTTAAAAGCCTGGTTTCTTGCAAAGAGGGAGGGCTCTTTGCATCTCTACCTCTACTGATACCTTAATGAAGTGATCAATCCTATTTCTTTTTTTTTTTTTTTTTTGAGACGGAGTCTTGGTCTGTCGCCCAGGCTGGAGTACATTGGCGTGATCTCAGCTCACTGCAACCTCCGCCTCCCAGGTTCAAGTGATTCTCTTGCCTCAGCCTCCTGACTAGATAGGATTACAGACGTGTGCCACCCCACCCGACTAATTTTTGTATTTTTAGTAAAGACAGGGTTTCACTATATTGGCCGGGCTGGTCTCGAACTCCTGACCTCAAGTGATCTGCCTGCCTCGGCCTCCCAAAGTGCTGGGATTACAGGTGTGAGCCAACGTGCCCAGCCAGAGCAATCCTAATTTGGGCAATAAAGGAGCAAAGAGGCATCATGTCCCACCTGTTGAGTTACACTGGGGGCAGAGGATCACTTCTCTGGTATTCTTTTCAAGAACCCAAATTTAATCACAAATAAGCTTCAGGAAAACTCAAATCCAGGACATTCTGGAAATCAACTAGCCTGGGCTCTAAAAATATTAATGTCACAAAACACATACACAGGTGCACATAAATGAAGGGGAACTATTCTAGCTTAAAGGAGATGAAGAAGCACAGCAAATGAAAGCCATCTTTGATTAGGTTATTGATCAAATAAATCTGTAAAGAATGCTGTTGGTACAATTGGGGAAATTTGAATATAAACTATATATTAAGCAATGCTGTGTATCAATAATGTTAAATTTGCTGAGTTTTGTGCAGGAGAATATCTCTTAAGAAATACATGTTGATGTATTTACAGGTAGAATATGATGACTGAAATTTAATTTCAAATGATGTTTTAAAATGTATATGTGTGTATGTGTGTGTATATGAAGAGAGAAAATTCTAAAACAAAATGTGATAGAATGTTAACAGTTGGTGAATTGACAGGTTATATCGTTTTTCATTGTATTATTCTTTTAACATTTGGGGTGTATTTGAAGTTTGTTAAAATAAAAGTTGTAGGAGAAAAAGATGATATGATGAAGGGAAAGAGTTTGAGTTTTCTGTAAGACGGTTAACTAGAGGCTATATATTCAAGAGGGCCTCTGGTCTGGCTGACCTATTGCTTCTTCCAGGACAGTGTAGAAAATAAAACATTTAGTTGCATATCCACATTTAAAAAAGAAAAAAGCAAGGGTCCCTTGCTCACTCAGGCCCAGGACTGTGGATGGGCCTTGGATGAAGCCAGGTGAAAAAGGGCTGTCAGCTTCACCCGCCCTTAGAGACAGCATCAGCTTTATCACTGGTGACAACGTGCAAAGGAAAGTTCAAAAGCTGAGGCAGAAAAGTAAGGGGGCAGCTGTCTTATAAAATACAGTAATACAAATACAGACACACAGCAGCCATAGAGCTGCTGATGACCAGGCTGGGCCTGCCGGCAGATGCTCGAGATTCACAGGTGGGCCTCGGGCTGCTCGAGGAGGGAGGAGCCGGCAGAGCCAAGGAACACAGAGGCCTCACAGGGGGTTAATCACTCCCTCCACCTGCCATATGGCCAGGGAAATCATCCACTCTCACGGAGCTGGATGGGAGCGGAAGCTGCTCCTGAACTTAATCAGAGGAGGGCTTTTGATTTCAGCATTAAACCGAAGGTGCTGGTAACATGGACTTGCCTGACCTGGTGACAGTGAGCCAACATGACCCAGAAGAGGACTCCGTTAAATATGTATATTAAGAGAACACAGATAAAAGCTTCCTGCTTTTATCTGGAGGACAGTGGGTGGTCAAAGAATTTTTCATTAAAAATATTTTTTTAGAATTTCCAGAATGTGACATATGTCCTAAGGGCAGTGCAGTGGAAACAGTTTCCCTAGATTCAAGGATGAGGAGGCATTGACAATGGAGACATTTTATATATATATATGTAAACATACACACACATATATACTCACATTATGTATGTATTTCACATTTATATATAGAATAAATGTATACTTAAGAAAATATATAAAATCAATATGTAATAAAACATGCTACATTTTCAGTGTGTATGTGCACACTTTGAGTTAGCGCATGTTTATTACTTACCTTTTAATCAAGAATGCATGCTAATGGAAGTTAATTCAGAGAACTCCCAGTTACAAGGTTGGCCCCCAGTGCTGGCAGATTCAGCTACATACATTCCTTGTAAGTGTGGAATCACGTAAGCACTCTCTGAACTCCTATTTCCAACCTGTCAATGGTCTGCACACAACACGTTCCTGCTTTTAAGCAGTAGATTCAAAATAAACAATGCTAACAGTGATTCTGCAGGGGAAGAAACAGAACTTGAATTACTTCAGTTCTGTTATTCTTTTATAGGTAACTTGAAGTTTTTATTTCTGTTTAAAATTTTTATTTATTTATTTATTTATTTGAGCTGGAGTCTCACTCTGTCACCCAGGCTGGAGTGCAGTGGTGCGATCTCAGCTCATTGCAACCTCTGCCTCCCCGGTTCAAGCGATTCTTCTCCTCAGCCTCCCAAGTAGCTGGGACTACAGATATGTGCCACCACGCCTGGCTAATTTTTGTATTTTTCATAGAGACGGGGTTTCACCATGTTGGCCAGGCTAGTCTCAAACTCCTGGCCTCAGGTGATCCGCCCAGCTATTTCTGTTTAAAATGTAAAACAATGAAACAGTGTGTGAACTGCAGTAAAATAATCCCCTTTAAAAATTATGATTAAAAAAATTAATCCATGACTTTTTACCTTTTTTTAACATATGTGCCAGCATGATTACATATACAAAGTTCAATAAAAAAATTTTCACTATCTACAGCAGTTCTTTTCTGGACATTATTATTATTCCTTTTGTTTAATGATCATTATTGAAAAGAATTCTGTTGTATGGAGGAAGGAAGCATTAAAAACCAATTCTTGACCAGGGGCAGTGGCTCATGCCAGTAATCCCCGCACTTTGGAAGGCCGAGGCAGGCGGTCCTGAAGTCGGTAGTTTCAGACCAGCCTGATCAACATAGAGAAACCCCATCTTTACTAAAAGTAGAAAATCAGCCAGGTGTGGTGGTGGGTTCCTGTAATCCCACCTACTCGGGTGGCTGAGGCAGGAGAATCACTTGAACCCGGGAGGTAGAGGTTGTGGTGAGCCGAGATCGAGCCACTGCACTCCGGCTTGGGCAACAAGAGCGAAACTCAGTGTCAAAAAGAGAAACAAAAAACAAAAACAAACCAACTGTCTGTAAGTGAATCACATGGTAGGTCCGCCAGGTGGAGACAGCAGATTGAGCAGTCTAGTCTGCTCCTTCCATGGCCCCTCGCTGGTGATGATAGAAGACTTGCTTTAAAGGAGAGGAAGCACGGCAGCACAGTCCTGGAAGCTGGAACGCAGAGGGAGCATGGAAATGACACACCTGGCAGCCCCAGGAAGACCAAGCCCTGAGCTGGCAATGGAGAAAGATGAAGCTCAGCCAGACTTACCCCACAGAATCCCCGGAAAGCCCAGGACTTCAAGGCACTCGATGTCTCTGGCAGTAGAGGTGACAAGGATGGTGACCTGGAGGCTGCAGGAAGGTTTGTTTAAGGAGAGGTCCAACACTCAGGCCCGCTCCCCACTCTGCATTTTTGGTGATTGTTCTTCTCCCAACCTAGCAGAAGACGAGAGATTTATTTTGGGGAGAGGATAAAAAGTGAGTCTTTTGCACCGGGAGCAGCAGCAGCACAGCTGAGGTCAGCGTTGTCATCCCAACACATCTAAGTAAAAGATTATATGTATTTTGGATGCTGAAGTCTCTAGCCATCTTTCCTAATCAGTTTTTGGACGTTTTCACCCTGAGGCCACAAACTGGAGGATCTTTCTGGATGGAATTTGAGGGATAGCACAGGGACTACCCCAGTGAGATGACCCAGCACAGCACGCTCCTGCCAAGCTCCAGGTTGGCAGGCCAGTCACGCCTGCAGTTTCCAATACGTGTGTTAGTATCCCACTCCTGGGTGTGTGGAGACGATGAGAGGAAAATCTCTAACACGAAAGGTGGGACTAGAATGGAGACGGATGTGGCCCAGGATATAGACAAACAGAGAATGGCAATTTGGAGAAGAGCTTTTCACAGGAAGCATTTTTTTTTTTAGAAAAGTCATTAATATCCCCAGGAAGATAAAAAAAGATATTGCAACCATGAAACACAGCAGAATGTAATAGAAATAAACATCAAGAGAACCAAAAAGAATTCTTGGGAATTAAAATCATGATTGCTGGAATGAAAAGCTCAAAAGAAGCTTTAGAAGATAAAAGGGCAGAAGGTAGACAGAAAGAGAAAGAGTTGGAAAATAAAGGAGAAAAGTTCAGAACCTGAAAGGACTGGTCCATGAGTCTCAGTATCCAAATAATAAGAGTTTCAGAAAAAGAGAACAGAGGAAGCCCAAAGATGGATGGGGACAGAGGGGGAGGAATCTGGCAACTAGAAGATGAGTGTCCACATTGAAAGGGCCCACCAAGTGCCCCACCAAGGCACATCATCATGCAACCTTAGGACGCTGGAGACAGACGCCCCACAAGAATGCGGAGACAGAGAAAGAGAAGATCAAGAACCAGAATGACAGAATGCATTTGTGTTCATTTCCCATTGCTGCTATTAAAAAAGAACTACACATTTTGTGGCTTAAAACAACGTGAGTTTATAAATTCTGGAGGTCAGAAATCCAAAATGAGTTTCACAAGGCTAAAAATCCAGGTGTTGGCTGTTCAGTGCCCCTTTCTGGAGGATCCAGGGGAAAATCTGTTTCTTGCCTTTTCTAGCTTCTACTGGCCACCAGCATTGGTTGGCTCATGGCCCCTCCCTCCATCTTCAGAGCCAGCAGGTTAACATTGTCATGTCTCTCTCCCTCTCCCCACCCTAGCCCTGGCTTCCATCCTCACACCTCCTTCTCTGACCCTCCTGCTTCTCTTATTAGGATCCTTGTGATCACATTGGGCTACCCAGATAGTCCAGAATAATCTCCCAATTCTGAAATCCTTAACTTAGTCCCATTTGCTAAGTCTCTTTTGTCATGTAAAGTAACATGATCACAGGTTCCAGAGATTATGACATAGGTATCTGTCTTAGTGACAAAGGAATACCTGAGCTGGGAAACTGGTAAAGGAAAGAGGTATATTTGGCTCATGGTTCTGCATTCTGCACAGGAAGCACGGTGCCAGCATCTGCTCCTGGGGAGGCCTTGGGAGCTTCCACTCATGGCAGAGGTGAAGGGGAGCCTGCTTGTGCAGAGGTCACACAGTGACAGAGGGAATGAGAGAGAGGGGGAAGGTGCCAAGGCCTTCTAAAGAGCAATGGTAGAACTCAGCTGGCAAAGGAGCAGTAACATGCCCTCCATTCCGCCTGAAAACCACCTCCTGCCCACATGACCTCTCTCCTCAGCCAAGCTACCAACCAAGGGCAAGAGTAAAATAAAGACACCTGCAGATGTAAGTTCTCCAAATATTTACATCCCACACATTCTATCTCAAGAAACTCCTGAAGGATGTTCTCAAACAAAATGAAAGACTAAATCAAGTGAGAAGACAATATGGGGGATACAGGAAATAGTAGGTCCAATGTAGAGAGATGCAAACGACATCATCAAGATGACGTTGAAGAGATTCTAGAAGAAAAGCTGTGATGCCATCCAGTGGCATCCAGTGCGGTGGTTCAGGAGATTCCAGAAGAGACTTCCTTTGGAAGGTGAACTGATGGTTGTCTGGTGCATGTGACCTCATTGTCAAGAAACAAAGCCAGTGGGTCAAGGATTTGGGATCAAATTGATATAAGAAATCTAACTGAGCCCACGAATAAGCTTGTCGGCAGAGGGGGCGGTCTGTTGGAGGCTGTTTAGACTCAGAGTAACGGTTTGTTCATTCATTTGGTCATCAAATGTCAGGTGCCTAGTATGTACCACGTGCTGTGTGAGGTCTGGAACTTTCTTTTTTTTTAACTTTTATTTTAGGTTCACAGGTACATGTGCAAATTTGTTACATAGGTAAATTGCATCATAAGGGTTTGGCATACAGATTATTTGATCACCCAGGCAATAGGCATGGTACCCATACCATAGGTATTTTTTCTGATCCTCCCCCTCCTCCCAGCCTCCACCTTCAAGTAGGTCCCGGTGTCTGTTGTTCCCCTCTTTGTGTCCATGTGTTCTCATTGTTTAGCAACCACTTATAAGTGACAACCTGTGGTAGGTACTTGGTTTCCTGTTAGGTTAGGAACTTTCTTAGCAAACCTAGGGCGTTTGGGTAGAGGATCCCAAGTGGATGAAGGCCTAGAGTTATATGATGGCTCCATGGGGTCAGCAACTGGTAAGTGAAGGCTGGCTGAGGCAGGAAGGCTGTTGGAAAGCACTGAGAGACAAAGGGGTCAGGGCTGGGGCCCAGGAAGTGAGGAGTTGCTGAGCAGAGCAGCCATGTGGCATGGTCTCTGTTAGAAAATGAGTGACATGGGTGGAAGAGAACGATATAGTCCTTTTTGCTGGTGCTGTCTGTCTCAGAAGGAAATCATTTCCCACCACAGATGTTGGGGGCAGATGCTTTGTTTTGCTGTATGAGGTAGACAATCTAATCTTTTGATTTGTTTCCTAAAGCAAATTTTAAAAATCAAAGTATAGCATACATACAAAACATTCACAAATGGGGCAGGCCAGTGAATTCTCACACAGTGAGTTCACCTCCACAACCAGCATCCAAACCAGAAAATAGAACAGGAACACTCCTGAGCTCGGTTCTCACTCAGCAAAAGCCTGCTCTGAAGGGCAGGCTGTTTCAGAAGGGGCAGGAGATAGACTTGCCCCTCTGGTGGGGTGGTGGAGATTGGATTTTAGATTCTCAGCAACTGGGTTCAAAGCTCATCTGTGCCACCTTCAGGAGACAGACTGCTGCACGTGGCAGATTCCATTTGAAACAGGGTTGATAAGGCCTTCCTCACCCATTAGCCATGAGCATCACATGACTTAAAGTGAACAGAAACGATCCACGTACAGTCAGCGCTTAACTCTGTGCTGCAGACTTGCTTTAGATTTGATAGTGATGCTGGAAGGCTTCAAGAGAGGCCTCTAGATGCAAACTTTCTGCCATTTTCCAGGTCCACGAGAGAGCCTTGTTAATGGACTCTGCAACCTTCCAGAGGACCCTAAGTCTCAGAGCTTTCCCAAGCCTGACCAGCCATCCTGGTACCTGCTGTCTAAGCAGCACCTCATATACCTCAGCTTATCTGTCACCTCTCTGGAGGGCAATTTGGCAGTGTCTAACAAAATTTAAAATTGGTATGCTCCTTGAATCAGAAATCATCGTTTTAGGCCGGGCGCAGTGGCTCATGCCTGCAGTCCCAGCACTTTGGGAGGCCGAGGCAGGTGAATCACCTGAGGTCAGGAGTTTAAGACCAACTTGGCCAACATGGCAAAACCTTACCTCTACTAAAAATACAAAAATTAGCTGGGCGTGATGGTGCACACCTGTAATCCCAGCTACTGGGGAGACTGAGGCACCAGAATCACTTGAACCCTGGAGGCGGAGGTTGCAGTGAGCCAAGATCATGCCACTGTACTCCAACCTGGGCGACAGAGTGAGACTCCATCTCAAGAAATAAAAAATAAAAATAAAAAAAGAAATTGTGTTTTAGAAATCAGTCCTAAAGAGGTATTTAGTCACGTGCACAAAGACTTTGTTGCTACATTTCTTGAATGTCCGAGAAAACTTTGTCTTCTAGTGGTCAAATAAATTATGGTAGAAATACACCATGGAGTGTTCAGAAGCCCTTAAAAAGGAAATAAGGGAATCCAGCACTTTGCCTGTAAAGAGCCAGATAGTAAGCATCTACAATACTAAACAAACAAACCTGTATTGTTTTCTGCACTGCATAACACATCACCACAAACACAGTGACTTAAAACAACATGATTTCTTTTCTCTCCACCCTACAGGTCAGAAAGCTGGCAGAGCATGGCTGGATTCTCTGCTCGAGGTCTCACATGCCCAAAATCAAGGTATTGGCCGGCTGGGCTCTTGTGTGGAGGCTCTGGGGAAGAACCATTCAGGCTGTGGACAGAAGACAGCTCCTTGTGGCTATAGGACTGAGAGCCCTGCTTCCCGCCACCGGCCCTTCAAGCACAAGCCCTCCAGGCCTCAAATCTCTCTGCCTTCCTCTTCTGCTTGTAAAGGCGCATGTGATTTCACTGGACCCACTTTCAAAACCCAGGATAACTTCCCTATTTTAAAGTCCATTTACCTTAATTAATCTGCACAGCCACTTTGCCATGTAAAGTAACATATTCGTGGGCATGAAACCAGGGGGTGAAGGTCATGTGGCTTTGAGAGCAGCACTCTCGGTGACACATACTCAATTCTGCTCCTCCAGTGCAAAAGCAGCCACTGACAATATGCAAAGGAATACATGCAGCCACAACATGGAAGAAATACGTGCATCAACAACACATAGCAGCGTGTGTATGTATGTGCGTAAAGGCCTTGGAACACAGCTGAAGAATACTTTTCAAATCCTTCACTGTTATTTCCTCTAGGGAAGAGAGTGGAGGCCGAGGCTGGGAATCCAGGAGCTGTTCCCATTTTATTCTGCATACTTCCCTATCTTCTGATGACTTCACAATGTAACCATTAAGAAAAATAAAAATTGCTCATGCATTTACATATATAAATATTAATATATGTAAAGAAAACCTTAACCAATAATGATGATTATATCTGGGGAGGAGGGAGTGTAAGGAACTTGCTTTCTAAATTACATATTCCTGCGATCTTTGCTTTTTTGTTACAATGAGTCTCTATTGTTGTGAATAGAAAAATATGTATACTTTTCATTGTACTGATGTCGATGAAGGATTTATGTAAAAAGCCAGATACTAAATATCTCCAAAGTTCATCCATTCTGGACTAATGCTCATGTTACAACTTTAAGTTAAAAGTGCAAGAGGCAGGCGGATCCTTTGAGGTCAGGAGTTTGAGACCAGCCTGGCCAACATGGTGAAGCCCCATCTCTACTACAAAAATTAGCCAGGTGTGGAGGCGGGTGCCTGTAATCCCAGCTACTCAGGAGGCTGAGGCAGGAGAATCACTTGAACCCATAGGCGGAGGTTGTGGTGAGCCGAGATTGTACCACTGCACACCAGCCTGGGCAGCAGAGCAAGACTCCATCTCGAAAAAAAAAAGAAGAAAAGAAAAGTGCAAGATGAAGAGTATACCCGGAAAATGAATCCAAGGACATAAATATTCATAGAAAATGACTGGAAGGAAATCCACTGAAACGTTAACAGTGGGTGTTCTAGGCAGTGAAGTCATGGATAATTATTTCTTCCTTTCTAGTTTTTAATGCTTCCCAATTTTCTATTATAAGTATGTATTATTTTTATAATTGACAAAATAAGCACTATTTTTTTTAAACTGAATGTAATTGCCAAGTGTACGGCAATATTCCTGTCAACGGGTTGCCAAATTTTCTTCCCGGCAGGGAAGCCTGTTTGAAAAACAGTAAAAACCAGAGGTGTTCTTGCAGAATATGGGTTCCGAAAAAAAGGAATCTGAAGATGCATGGGTGAGAATGAAGAGACGGTGTCATTTTATCATTGAGGAAACAGGAGGGCTCCCCCACGCCTGCCAAGCCAACAGCCTGTCAAGACTGGCCACAGTGGGGTGGGTCCCGCCCAGCGACCAAACACCCAGCAGCATTGACAGGGGACCCACCCTGGCCCATGCTTAACACGTGCTAATGAGCTGCTATTTTCCATATAGATCAGACTTCTGGTTCCTATATTCCTAACCTCGCATACCTCTTCAACCCCCATGCTGTGTGCCATTCCCAGCAGGTGGCTTTCTGCTTGCTTCAGAGGGGGTTTCCCCTGGAAGGTTAATGATATGTTTCCCGTGGATGTTAGTGGATAGTCTCACTGCTTAGGAGAATAAATGCATGCCTGAGATGCAGCTATCACCACACAAGACTCCCCAGACAGACACGGCTGTGACATTTCAGCCCCTCCCTCTTTTCTGCAGTCCCTGCCCCAACAGTTTGAGCTCCTGCTTCATGCAAGGTGCTCTGGAATAGCTGAATAGGCAAAGGCTGCAGCAGCCCTCACAGAGCTCACAGCCGGTGAGAGACGAGATGTGTCCAGAAAAGGAGACTCCATGAAACAAACAGTGAGAGCCATAAGAAAGGTCAAGGTTGAGTGTTTTGTGAAAGAGAGATTAATCTGGAAAGAGGTGATGAGGAGTTTAAATAGAGGGAGTGACAGTTGAGGTGTACCTCAAAGGATTGGAGAATTTGTTCATGGTAAGATGGGAAGAAAAATCAAAAGTATTCCAACCCACTCTCCAAAAAGCAGCATGAACAAAACCATAATTTTCTATGACTTTTCAGGATCCAAGGTATTACTCACCTGCACACTGGTCTGCATCAAGCATACCTATGAGTTATTACACTAGGCCACGATCCCCCGTTAGAGCAAGTAAAACTCCCCATCTCCATCTAAAGTGCTCTAATAAGGAACCAACAAAAAGGGTCTGGAACCTCAACCTTGGTCATCACATGAGTGGTGCAAATTGAAATTACACTAGGAAACCAATGTATTCTGTGATGAGGCTGTGGGGAGACAGGCACACTCAGATATCGCTGGTGTGAATGCAGAATGCTACTACCCACCATGGAGGGGAGTTTGGCAATATCTGGCCAAATCATACAGCCTTTGAGCAGAGGTATCACCTCTAGGAAAAGCTGCGTGTAACCTGTATCTTGTTTAATTTTACAAAAATGACTAGGAGATTTTAAAATTTAAAAAACCATGTAGGAGATCTTCTTGGAAACAAAACATTATTTTACATTGAAAATAATTATTTTTTGCTTTCTTTCATTTCACATTTGAAAATTTTTTCAATACCTTTGTCTCATTAAAGTAAAGCATAGTAATGAAACAGACCCTGGTCACAGACAGTCCTCAGAAGCTGACCCTGTCAGATAAGAGGCAATGTGACCCACAGCACAGGAGAGACATAGGAAGGTAACATTTGTACTATTAATGACTTTGAGGTTCAAATCAAGATCCCGCACCCTCAAACAGGTCTCTATTTCTCATCAGTGGGCACCTCATTTACACATCTTTTGGGGTCATATCTCAGATTAATCATTTTGGTCTCAGTGTACAATAGTTTAACATAGAGCCACATCCCAATAGAGCGGAAGAACTGCCGAAACCATCTGGTCCAATTCCCCCTCACTTTATAGTGAAATAAAACCAAGTGATATTTAAGTGAATTACTTAACATTACACAGCTAGTGAAAGGCAAGGCTCAGGCTCAGGTCTAAGTTTCTTAATTCCAAGTTCAGTGTCCTTCCTATGATGCCATACAGTCAGCTATCATAAAAAACCTTTTCCCCTTCATCAACAGTAGCTTGCATCTTTTGAGACAAAGGTATAAATAAAAGTTAGTTTAAAACACTTTAACATTGCTGTTATTTTATGTTTTTTATAAGAAGGCAGGGACCTTCATCTCTGTTGTAATGGATATAGCCCAAAAGCCTAGAAGAGAACAGTGTCCTTGTACATAGTAGATGTTCGATAAATGTTTGAATAAATATTTATTGAATAAATGAATATACTAAGTGGTATGAGTGGATCCATAGAGAAGAAAATGTAATTCTGATGTTTCTCAACTATCAGATTGGCAAAAATCTGAAAAATAACAAATAATTGAGTATTGTGCAGTGGTGCTATCATAGTTCACTGCAGCCTCAAACTCCTGGGCTCAAGCAATCCTCCCACCTCAGTCTTCCAAGTAGCTGGGACCACAAGCATGCACTGCCATGCTTGGATAATTGCCCAGATAATTTATTTGATTTTTTGTAGAGGTGGAGTCTCACTATGTTGCCCAGGCTGGCCTTGAATTCCTAGCCTCAAGTGATCCTCCTGCCTTGGCAATTATTTCTTTAGGATAAATTCCTGAAGGTAAAATTGTTGCATAAAGGGTCTGTATAGTTTTTAAGGTTTTTTTTTTTTTTAAATGAAGTTTCGTTCTTGTTGCCCAGGCTGGAGTGCAATGGTGCGACCTTGGCTCACCACAAAACCTCCACCTCCCGGGTTCAAAAGATTCTCCTGCCTCAGCCTCCCAAGTAGCTGGGATTACAGGCATGTGCCACTACGCCCAGTACAGATGGGGTTTTCCATGTTGGTCAGGCTGGTCTCGAACTCCCGACCTCAGGTGATTTGCCCGCCTCAGCCTTCCAAAGTGCTGGGATTACAGGCATGAGCCATTGTGCCTGGCCTTTTTAAGGTTCTGATACAATGAACTGCCAAATTGTCTCCCCACAAAATATTGTGCTACTGGCTGGGCTCGATGGCTCACGCCTGTAATCTCAGCACTTTGAGAGGCCGAGGGGGGCAGATCACCTGAGGTCAGGAGTTTGAGACCAGCCTCATTGATATGATGAAACCCCATCTGTACTAAAAATACAAAAATTAGCTGGGTGTGGTGGTGGGCGCCTATAATCTCAGCTATTCAGGAGGCTGAGACAGGAGAATCGCTTGAACCCGGGAGGCGGAGGTTGCAGTGAGCCGAGATGGCGCCACTGCACTCCAGCCTGGGCAACAAGATCGAAATTCTGTCTCAAAACGACAAAAACAATAAAAAATTTGTGCTACTTTATAGTGCCCATTGCCTGAAACTTCACCTACCTTGTGTTTTATCCAATTTTTTAAAATTTTATGGAAAAAGCAAAACAGACCTGGTATTTCACAGGTATTTTTAAATATGCATTTATCTTCAAGTAAAAGAAAGTATTTTTGTTCCTTCTTTTTGTGACTGATCTGTTCTTTCATTTTCTCTCTCTCTTTTTTTTTTTTTTTTTGAGACAGGGTCTTGCTCTGTCGCCCAGGCTGGAGTGCAGTGGTGCCACCTCGGCTCACTGTAACCTCCACCTCCTGGGTTCAAGTGATTCTTGAACCTCAGCCTCCCAAATAGCTGGGATTACATGCGCATGCCACAGCACCTGGCTAATTTTTTTTTTTTTTTTTTTTTCTGTGGAGACAGGGTTTCACCATGTTGCCCAGGCTGGTCTCGAACTCCTAAGCTTAGGTGATCGACCTGCTTCAGCCTTCCAAAGTTCTGGGATTACAAGCATAAGCCACCGTGCCCGGCCTATTCCTTCATTTTCTTACTGAACTGTAGAAGTTATTCACATATGGAAGATATTAGTTGTCAATTTTATATATGATGCAAAGCTTTCCCAGTCCATATTTAATTTTAATCATTTTTCTGGTGGTTTTTCACATACAAACGTTTAAAATTTCAAGTAGTCAATTTTAACACCATTTTATTTTTCTTCTTCTTCATATGATAAAGCATCATATGGTAAAGTCCTTTCCCTACTCAGAAACTGCTTATAATTTCTTCTTTTTATTTTTTCTTTTATTTCCCCTTTTTAACCTCTTATAATTTTAAAATATTAAGGGTTTCTTGTGTTATATATTTTAAGATACTATCTTTTTTTAATATCTAGACTTTTTTCTAAAATAATTTATTAAATAATCCCGTTGATTTCACGTGACATACCTTATGTACACCCAATTCCCATATAAACATAGGTTGGTTTACGGACTCCATTCTGTTCCAGTGAATTAGTTGCCCATTCTTCCTTCAGTAGCACATTGTTTTAACTTCTGTGGAGGCATTTTAATGTTTCAGTGTTTGATGGAACAAGTCACCTCTCTTCACTGTTGTCAATTTCAAAAAAAAAAAAGACCCCAAAACTATTGATTCTCTGCTATGAAATATGAAATTATATTCTTACACTTGTTTTCTTCACCAGCATTTTTATTAGCTGTATTTAATTTCTATTTTGTCAAGTTTTATAATATTTACACTTAATTCAATAAACATTCTCCAGTTGCTTAATTTTTTGTTTTTGTTTTTGTTTTTTTGACGGAGTCTTGCTCTGTCATCCAGACTGGAGTGCAATGGTGCTATCCCGGCTCACTGCAACCTCCACCTCCTGGGTTCATGTGATTCTCCTGCCTCAGCCTCACAAGTAGCTGGGACTACAGGCACGTGCCACCACACCCGGCTAATTTTTGTATTTTTAGCAGAGACAGGGTTTCGCCATTGTTGGCCAGGCTGGTCTCAAACTCCTGACCTCAAGTGATCTGCCTGCCTTGGCCTCCCAAAGTGCTGGGATTACAGGTGTGAGCCACTGTACCCAGCCCAGTTGCTTAGTTTTTGTGGTGTTCATATGAGTTTACTATTTCTGTGATTATATGACATAACTATGGCCTTCTTTTTAAATTGTATTTTATCCACTATTATTAATGAAAAAATTTAATCTCATCATTGGTTCTATTTATAGTCAAGTCATTTTTTAAACAAGTGCCATATGCGATATTTCTTAAATTCTTCCATGTTTGAGTATGACTTCCTGTTTCCTTTCTATTGAAGAACTCTTTGGCTGGCTATAATTACTTGAATCTCACTTTCTGCCCCTCAGAACATTACCAGCATTACTCTACTGCAGTGTTTACTGGCATTGAATGCTGCTGTAGAGAAATCCAAGGCTGATTTTTGTCCCTTATAAATTACTTGTTTATCTACCTGAATGCCTGAAGAATTCTGTCTTTAGTCTTAAAGTTTAGTAGCTTAACCAGGTTAAAGGTATTGATTGTTCTGTGTAATCTGCCCCCAAACACTGTGTACCCCTTTAAACGAGTTTTATTTTTCCCCCATTACAGGGATCTTTTACTCATTTTTATATGTGAATATTGTTTCTGGTCAATGTCTTGGGTTCCGTATTTGCAGAACTCTAATTATCTTTATGTGGTTATCCCTTCAAATCTGTCATCTTTTCCTTAATTGCTTTAGTCTCCTGGTATTTCTCCTCTGCAATTACTGTGATTTTCTGAAATCTTTTCTCTATCAGCATTTTCCCCAGCCATGTATGTTTGATTTCTTGCTCTTCCTACGTTATTTATTAATCTCTGTGTTTGAAGTTTCTTTATTGTTCCTTTTCTCTGCTGCTTTCTTTCTCATCTCTGCTTGTTCTAGCATTAAGCTAGTTTATTCAGTTCATATACTTCTTTTTAGTTCTTTCATATCATGAAACACACTTGGAAGTTTACTTCTGTTTTTTAGATTATATTTTCATCCAGATTGGGTTCTTTGTTATTTCTATGCAATACTGTATGCATTTTTGTTGTTATGGGCTTTCATATTTGCATGCCATTTCTTTTTATCTTACACATGCTTCTGATGGTTCCCATCTGCCCGGATCTCCTTTTTGCTCTGCTCTTGCATGGAGAAGTATCTCCTTGATATTTTGTCCACTTGATCTGACACTCATTTGTCTTCCCCCTGAGCCCCAATATGTAGAGTAAGAGTTGCCTTTTACTAAATTTCATGTGACTTGAGGGCATGGGGGTAGGGGTGGGGGCAGTGTTGAGCCAGCTGGGGGCTGGACCCTGCTGTCTGTTCTGAGCACTCATCACTGTCACGTCTGGAACACCCACCCTCACAGGGTGTGCTTCACTCCTATGGGCTGTGAGTCATTCGCTCCACATAGCAAAGAATCCTAGAAAGTCCTTCTGGCCTCTTCTACGACCTGGTGGTGATACATGAGATTTTCCATTCGCAAAGCTTTCCTTCTTTCTCCCCAGAGCTGCATTATTCACACTGTCCACCCATTCTCCTTCAAATGGGAAGGTCTTTGTGAGAATGTTCTATATTTCCTTGTGTGGGAGTACGTGAAGAGGAGCATATTTATTAGCTTAAAATTCCTTTCAGGGGTCTCAGCAAAATACCTTAGTGGACTATTTGATATGTTGAAAGTCAGATTTCAGGGCCTATCCCAGATTAGTGAAAAAAGAAACTATGAAATAAGAAGGAGCATTGGGGATTGCAGCAAACTAAAGAAGAGATGGGAAAAATATTCAAAGTAGACAAGAGGGGGCCCAGCTATGTGGCCAGAGATTGGGTATCAAATGTAAAAAATGAGGCCGGGCACGGTGGCTCACGCCTGTAATCCTAGCACTTTGGGAGGCCTAGGTGGGAGGATCATTTGAGCTTAGGAGTTCAAGACTAGCCTGGGCAACATGGCAAAACTGTGTCTCTACTAAAAATACAAAATATTAGCCGGGCATGGTGGTGTGTACTTGTAATCCCAGCTACTCAGGAGGCTGATGTGGGAGGATCACTTGAACCTGGGGGCGGAGGTTGCAGTGAGTCAAGATCACGTCACTGCACTCCTGCAGGGGTGACAGCGAGACCCTGTCTCAAAAAAAGAAGAAAAAAGGCAATAAAAGCTCCACGGAAGTATGTTTATGATTCAATGTGCTATGCTGCAATATTAAACTGCCCCGCTGCTTAACATTTTCAAAGAGTCTCTGAATTGGACCTTGAATCAGTGGTCCTTGGAAAAGTGAAATAATCATGCTGGTTTTATGAGTATTGCCCTAAGAAAAAGAAGCAGTGTGGACAAAGCAAAGAAAGCAAAATCTAGATCTGTGTTCTAGAACACAGACAAAAGATCAGTGGAAGCAGGGACTTAAAAAGTCGGGAATGACCAAGAGAATTCTAAGTCCTGCTCCCTTACTACACCCTGGAAATACTGGCTGGGAGAAGTGAGATTTTAAGGTTTCTCACCAGCCAATTGGAAGACATTGACATGTAGTTACAAATGATTACTAACAACGTTTTCAAGATTTCCTTGAAATAACAGCCTCAGCCACACCCACATTTTCTTAGTTTTTATATATGGAATTGTATTAGTGCTCCCTAAATTAGTAATGCGAGATTTTGACTAGAAGACTTCTAAAGACATTTTATATGTAAATATTAGAAGCAACTATGATTCCTTGGGGAATTTTGCATTTTTTTTTTTTTTTACTGAGGTAAATTTTACGTACAGTGAAATGTGTGCAGATCTTAGTGAGCAATTCAATGCATTTTGACTAATATCTATACCCATGTAACCAACACTCAATCAAGGTACAGAATGTCTTGATCACCCCAGGAATTCACTTGTGCCCACTTCCAGTCAACCCTCCCACTCCAAGCAACCACTTTTCTGATACTGTTACTATAGATTATTCTGCCTGTTCTAGAACTTCATATACATGGAATCATACAACGTGTACTCTTTTGTGTCTAGCTTCTTTTGCTAAACATGGTATTTTTGAGATTCACAATATCAGTAGTTTGTTGTATATGTCGGTAGTTTGTTCCTTTCTGTTACTGATTAGTCGTCTATTGTATGGACTGCTGCAAATTGTCTATTCTATTGCTGGACATTTGCGTTGTTTCAAGTTTTTTACTATTTTGTGTGTGTCTTATTGTGAACATATATTTTTGTTTCACTTGGGCAAAACCTACAAGTGGAATCTCTGGGTAGGTATATATTTAACTTTTAGGAAACCATCAGTTTTCCAAAGTGGTTATGCCATTTGATGGTACAAGACATTTATGACATTTATGTGGAGCAACTAGAGCTCTCACAAAACATTTATGAGAGTTCTAGTTGCTGCACATCCTTGTAAACATGGTTTTGTAGGTCTTTTTTATATTAGTCATTCTGTTGGGTGTAGGATGGAGCCTTATTGTGGTTTCAAACTGCATTTCTCTGGCAACTAATGATGTGAGTGAGCATTTCCTCATGGGCTTGTTGGTCATTTGTATTTACTCTTTTTGAAGTGTCTAAGCCTTTTGCCTATTTTTCAAAATTGGGTCCCAGTGTCACTTGTTGAAAAATTCATTGACTACTTGTGAGTCTATTTCTGGACTTTGGTCTATTCCAATAATCTATTTGTTCATGCCTATGCCAATACCATGCTGTCTCCTGATTACTTAGCTTTCTAGGAGATCCTGACATCAGACTGTGTGAGTCTTTCAGCTTTGGGAGGCTGAGGTAGGCGCATTACCTGAGGCTAGGAGTTTGAGACCAGCCTGGCCAACATGGCAAAATCCCATCTTTACTAAAAACACAAAATATTAGCTGGGCATGGAGGTGCACATTTATAATCCCAGCTACTCGGGAGACTGAAGCACGAGAATCGCTTGAACCCAGGAAGCAGAGGTTGCAGTGAGCTGAGATTGCACCACCCACTCCAGCCTAAGCAACAGAGTGAGACTCTGTCTCAAAGAAAAAAAAAAGCATTCACTAATTCTAGCTTTAGAATTCATTCATTTTTGCCAAAAGAGTCTACTGGCCTTTGATTGGAATCAGATTAAATCTATAGATCAATCTGGGGAGAACTGACATTTTAACTTGCATCAAGTCTCCCAACTCATAAGTATATTTTTCCATTTATGTGGATCTTTAATTTCTCCCAGCAATGTTTTATATGCAAATGAATTTTTATACATATAAACTGTGAGTAATTTATATGCAAATAGTTAATAAAACTATGATTATATGATTTTTTTAAAAGTCTGCAGTTCTAAATGAACTGATAAAAGACCTCGCATGAAGGGGGAGAAGCACTCAGTAAACAATGTATTAATAACGGGCACTGGACACTCAGAATCCTCAAGTACTGTCATAATAATGAGTTCAGTTTTAAGTGCAGTAGAAGCCATTAGTGAAGAAAAATGATATTAGACACAAAGTTTAGTCGGAATGCAGTCTTACATCCTATCCAGTCTTAAATCCAAAGACTTGTTCCAGGGCTCCCCACCTGCACTACTCCAACGTCTTTCTTCTTTGTCCATCAAGGCTGTCCTGTTGCTTCCAACTGACTGCCACTGCCTGGGCTCAGGTGCCCCTTGGCTTGTTCCTGAACCACTGAAACAATGTCCTAACTGACCTCTGTGCCTCAGTCTGTCAGCTGCCAATTTATCGCACATGCTTGACTTCAAAGTTACTTTTTAAACCTGCAAATTTAATATATGTTTGTTTGTTATTTCTGTTAAATAAAAATGGTTCAGATATCCCTTCTTTGGGTTATTACTTGTTTTTGTTTAATGTGGCATGGCAAATATATTCTCCATATATCCATGGTTATCAGTTATCTGTTAAATTAGAAATGATTAATCCCCCATTAATTAAAATTTAAAGCATGTGCTTCAAATAATTTGTTTAAAATATCTGAATCATCACTCAGATTTCTGATTCAGTTATAAAATTATTAGAAGAAAATATGTTAATTCAAAGAGTGCATAAAACATACTACATCTTCTGCTCTGTGAAGCGCACCCATTAACTTGCCGTGAAACCAAGCCACTAGACTGTACCTGCTGCACAACAAACAGCAAATTGAGTCTCCTTGATGAATGCTTTGAGTTGAGTCTCCCCGACTGTGAAATAAATCATGATTTAAAATGTGATCAGCCCTGACTTGATGTAAATAAATCCATACTACTAGAAGCCATGTTCTCAAAGATGGATAGTTTGCCATCGTGTAAATGACCTTAAGAGAAGACCTCCACGTAATTTTCAAAATATAAATAAGCAACAAGAAACCTCTACTCAAGAGAACTACAGCTTTTTGCCTCAAAGTGGTATATCCGTTTTATTTTCATTACCGATGACCCTACGATCCATTCTACAAATCTGACATAATTATGTTAAGAAAAAAAATACAAAATGATGTGGTGTGTTGCTGCTTTTCTGCCTGCCAAATTGGAAGTGAAGAAAGAGTCGTTATGCCGCTTCGCTCCACTGCTGCATTCCAGCAGTTCAGATCGACAAAACAGCATCCATCATGCTTTGCATTACAATTTTCCTTTTCCATTTCCCCCCAGCTCATCATAACATAATTATGTTCCATTTTTTTCTAGCCAGGGGCTGGTATTTTCTTTTATACAGGACAACAGCTGCAAAGCTCAACCTTGATGCCTCCTTAAAATGGTGAAATGTGTTTGCCTTTGTTCCAGTCTTGGTAATTTCAATTTTCACACTCCTGCTTGGCAGATTTTCTTGCTGCCAAAAAATGCATTCAGCCCTGAAACTTTCATAGGGATGTGCAAAGGAGGTAGCTTCCAGGGTACTTAGTACTTGTCTGTACTGTAATTTATCCTTGAGCCAACTTGTTTTGGAAATGTGTTGAGAAGACTAATGCTGCTCTCATTCTTTTTATAGCTTCATAATTGCTAAAGGAGAATTGTCTTTGTGTCGAACCAATCTGAACATTTTTATTCTTCTCTCTATTCGTGTCTACTCATGGATACTCTCATCATCGCTTTCTGAGAGTTGGGAACATTGGGCCAAAATCTTGTCAATAAAAATCCTATGCTTCATGGCAAAAATTTTAAGATGTTAAACAAATGTTAATAATAACTAACAGTTTTGGGGCATTACTCTGTGATAAAAATGTTCTAAGTAATTTGATGAGTTACCTAATGTATTCCTCACGAAAACCATGAGGTAGGTGCTACCATGACCCTCATTTTTCAGTGGAGAGAAAGGAGACTAAGAGGGTTTGAGAAATTTCCTTGAGAGGCCACAGAGATAGTGCTGAGCTGGGAGTTAGATTCAGGCAGCTGGAGCCCACACCACTTCCTATCTTGCCTCCCCCTGTGGTCATCGTCAGCTCCCAAATTCTCAGGGGGCCCAGATTTACCCCATTCCAGCCCTGCCAGGAGAAGTCAGGGCTCATGCCTCAAAAAGTAGCATGTCAGTATGAAAACCCGACAGGATGCAGATGTCTCACATCGTGTATACTGGATGCCTTGCTGGAGGCTTTCAGCTTCATTACGTGGATTTTCGACTGCCATGGTCTCGGCCGCCCCCTATTAACCTGAGCATTCACAAGTTTCCTTTCCTCTTCCGATCCATGGGATACTGAAGAGCAGACGCAGAGGTTCGCAGGTCACCCGTGGCTGAAGGCCTCAGGTGCCATGTCGGGAATCCGGCTGTGCTGAGGCGGCCATGCTGGAGAGGCCACGCATGGAGATGCAGGAGAGAGACACAGAGAGATGCCTGGGGAGTCCCAGCTGTTCCATCTCCCCAGTCAGGGTGCCAGATGTGACTAAAGAACCTTTCAAGTTAACCCCAGCCCCAGGCAGCCACGGGTTACAACCTCATAAGAAACCCTAAGCAAGGACTGCTCAGCTGATCCTGTTAACTCCAGACTCACAGTCAAAATCAACTTTTGCTACTTTTCAAACCACTGTTTCAGGGTGATTTGTTACTGAAACACCATTAAGACAACAGCAGAGAACATTTGAGCAAATACACCTTAAGGGCTCATATTTTTGCACGAGATTTTTGCAGAAGGACCCACCATTGTGACGTATGTGTAATGTCTGTTGTGTGGATGCTGTGGGTGCATGTGGGTAGGTATTGTTTGTTACCTGTTTGAGTTGTATCCTGTAGACCAGGTCTTACTTGAAGGATAACACAATTTATTGAGTCAGTTACAGAAGTTCTGCCTGTCACCCATGGACTGAGAAAAGTCTGTCAATTCAGAAAGAAGACCAAGTAGAAAGGTCTTAGAGAGGCAGATAAATAAGAATCACTGTCTTGGCCAGGCTCAACATGGGAGTCTCATTTTGTTTAACCTGGGAAACCTGAGAAACATAGTGAGACCCCATTTCTACCAAAAAAAAAAAAAAGCCAGGTATCTCACACCTGTAGTCCCAGCTACTCAGGAGGCTGAAGCAGGAGGATCACCTGAGCCCAGGAGTTCAAGGCTGTAGTGGGCTACAGTTGCACAACTGCACTCCAGCCTGGGCAACAGAGTGAGACCCTGTCTCAAAAAAAAAACGACAAAAAAATTCCAAATTATGCTTTTATGCTTTCTGTTAACTGCAGCCAATAGAATCTAATGATACATTTTTCATAATACATTTTTTTTTGAGACAGAATCTCTCTCTGTTGCTCAGGCTAGAGTGCAGTGACATGATCTCAGCTCACTGCAACCTCCGCCTCCAGGGTTCAAGCAATTCTCCTGCCTCAGCCTCCAGAGTACTTGGGATTACAGGCGCCCACTACCACGTTTGGCTAATTTTTGTATTTTTAGTAGAGACAGGGTTTCATCATGTTGGTCAGACTGGTCTCGAACTCCTGACCTCAGGTGATCCACCTGCCTTAGCCTCCCAAAGTGCTGGGATTACAGGCATGAGCCACCACACCTGGCCACATTTTATATATATATTCACCCTAAGTATACTCAGACTTAGTGGTTTTGGATACTGTGATTCAAATAAATTTGCAGAAGTTAGTGCAAACATAAGTTAGGAACTTTGTATTATAGTTTTTACCAAATAAACTCCAGCTGTGGTATTATCACAGGCATGGAACTGGCATGTTAAGCTGCATGCTGCTGGCCTAGATGAGCTGTCACTATTTGTTTCTGACCCTCCATTCATTCATTTGTCAAGCAAATATTGGATGAGCACCTATTATGAGCAAGGCACTGTTCTAGGCTTTGAGGATATAAGACTGAATGGCATGAACACAAATCCCTGCCCTCACAAGATAATCCACTTCTTATTGATTTGCTCTATGCTCACCGACGACTCTGGATTTCTAATTCAGTTTCTTAGTGTTTGTTGAGAGCAAAACTAGGGTGTCAGGCCCTGAGAAGGCATGGACCCCATTGGAGATTACTGATTTACACAAAAGGCTCTGGGCAGTTTGATTCACGTGGCTTGGCCCAGGAGACTCTGTGTGCATTGGTAACATTCTACCATGGAGCCTTCAGAGCCCAGGAGCAGCCTTGCCCCCGGGAGACCATGACAACAAAACATCTCTTGCACATCCTGACCTTGATCAGCTTTAGTTGGCGTTATTATGAAAACCCAAATTCAGGGAAAATTGACCAATACTGGGACCTTGGCTTAGCACGTGTGCTTATTGATGCTTACATAAATGATTAGATTGTCTGCCATCACTGCTCCAATCCAGAACTTGGCCTGGAATTAGACACTACTTGAATAGGATGAGAGAAATGGTCTCAAAGGAAACTGTTCTCAATGTTAGTTAGGGAGCAACAATAATAAGAAATAACTTCTCTTGTTTTTCCCAGGTGTTCAGGCCTATTCTAAGAGCCTTAGATGCCTTTGCAACATCACGTCTCTAAAAGATGGGAACCATCACTATCGCCATTTTGCAGAAGAGACTAAAGATTAAGTGAATTGCCCAAGATTACCTGGCTGGTAGTCCCTGGTCTTTTTCTACAGCTTACAAAATCATTTATCTCACACTTCAAGAAGAAATGCTATGTTAGCAGGCAGCCATGAATTTGGGAATTCTGGACAATTGTGTAGAATACTTTTGTGAAGTAAGGATTGTAGTCTGAATCAGTTAGGAAAACAGTGGCTTAGAAGAGACAAGGGGGCAGGGGGCAGTGGCTCACGCCTGTAATACCAGCACTTTGGGAGGCCGAGGCGGGTGGATCACCTGAGTTTAGGAGTTAGAGACCAGCCTGACCAACATGGTGAAACCCCATCTCTACTAAAAATACAAAAAATTAGCCAGGCATGGTGGTGGGCGCCTATAACCCCAGCTACTCAGGTGGCTGGAGCAGGAGAATCGCTTGAACACGAGAGGTGGAGGTTGCAGTGAGTCAAGATGGCGCCATTGCACTCCAGCCTGGGTGAGAAGAATGAGACTTTGTCTCAAAAAAAAAAGACAAGGGTGCATTTCCCCCAGCCTGCCAGAAGCAGTCCAGGGCTGGCATAACAGCTCTGCAATGCCACTGAGAACTCTATGGTCTTTCGGGTGTGATCCATACCCTTACACATCTAAGATAGCTACTGGGAGTGGCAACAGGAGGAAGAAGTCTGGCTGAGTCATCCCCTTTGTATTTTTTATTTTTCTGAGACGGAGTCTTGCTCTGTCCCCCAGGCTGGAGTGCAGTGTCATGATCTCAGCTCACTGCAACCTTTGCCTCCCAGGTTCAAGTGATTCTGTTGCCTCAGCCTCCCGAGTAGCTGGGACTACAGGTGTGCGCCACCACACCCAGCTAATTTTTGTATTTTTAGTAGAGGCAGGGTTTCACCATGTTGGCGAGAATGGTTTCCATCTCTTGACCTCGTGATCTGCCCACCTTGGCCTCTTAAAGTGCTGGGATTACAGGTGTGAGCCACCATGCCTGGCCAAGTCATCCCATGTTTAAGGGACTTCTTTCCCATCCAACTTCTACTTCGAGCCCACAGACCAGATCTTAGTCACAAGGCATCTTCATCTGCAGAGGAAGCCAGGAAATACATGTCTCTGTTGGTTTGGTTTGGTTTCTATTTTTTTTTAATTTTAGTACATTGTTGCCCAGAATAAAATTAAGATCATATTAGTGAGGGACAAGTGGATAACAAATACTGGGTGGGCGAAAGCAGGATGAACCCCAGATGACCTAGAGCACTTTATGAACTTATAACAATTCCAGGTAGACATCTCCCTGCATGGCACAGCCTGGCGAGTGATGATTCCTCTGTGTGAAGCTCTCAAAGCACCCATTTCCTCCAGGTGCAGGGCCTGGAGAGGGAGCCCAGGCCCCTGCTGCCCTCTGCCAGGCCCCCTGTGTATTATGGATGAGTCGGCTTGGGCTGCTGTAACAGACAGGGAGTCTTAACCAGCAGAAATCTATTGTCTCATGATGCTGGAGGCCACAAGTCCCAGATCAAGATGTCACAGGGTTGGTTCCTTCTGGGGACTGTGAGGGAGAACCCATCCCAGGCTTTTCTCCTTGGCTTGCAGATGGCCATCTTCTCCCTGTGTCTTCACAATCATCTTTCTTTTTGGGGTGCCTGTCTCTGGGTCAAAATTTCCTCTTTGCAAAGAACATGAATCATTGGATTAGAGCCCATCCTGAGAACCTCATGTCAGCTCATCTCTGTACAGACCTTATCTCCAAGTAAAGTTACTTTCTGAAGTCCTGAGGTGGGGACTCCAACAATTCAGCTCCTGTGTGGTGCATGACCTTTACAACGGTAAGAAGCAAGCTGCTCCAGTACTGCCTATCCACAGTGTGACCCCATGGAAACCCAGACTGCCTGCTCACTTCACCCCACATTTCACATAGCCCCTGGCTCCACACTGGCCTTTGGTAATACTCAACAAACAGCTACAGATGAATGAAAATGCCAGCAAATCTGCCTAGAGAGGTGCTTGAATGGCTCCCAACAGGCTCCTCAGCCTCACTTCCTGCTGCTTCACCCTCACCCCTGTGCTTCAGCCTCCCCAGACACAGTGGCCCTGACTGAGTCTGCACTTTGCATCCCTCTGCCTGGAATACCCTCTCCCCAGAGAGCCACATGCCTCCCTCCCTCCTATCTATTTTGTGGCAGGCAAGCTGGGGAGCTGATTCAGGATTATTGGGTGGGCCCGATGTAACCATGAATCCTTGAAGACAGAAAAAGCAGAAAATCTTCCTGGCTAAGTCAGAAAGTAGACACTAATTGGAGAGAGACTGAGTCAAAGCATGAGAGGGACTCCATCCGCCATTGTCAACTTTGCAGAGGGAAGAAATGAGCCATAAGCCAGGGAACCTGGCAGCCCCTAGAATCTGGGAATGGCCTTCAGCTGACAGCCAGTAAGGAAATGGGGCTTGAGTCCTAAAATGCAAGGAATTGAATTCTGCCAACGACGCAGCGGGGCAGTAAATGGATCCTCCCCCAGAAGCCCAGAGAGGAATGCAGTCCTGCCAACACCTTGATCATGGCCGGGTAATACCCTCATTGGACTTCTGAGCTTCAGAACTGTAAGATAATATATTTGTGTTGTTTAAGCCACTAAGTTTGTGGTAATTTGTTATGGCAGCCTAAGATACTCATGTTATTCAGGTTCCTGATAAAATGTCACCTTCTTATAGAGGGTTTCCGAGACCATCGACCTGCATTTCTCCTGGTTTACTTTTCCCCACAGCCCTTGTCACTAGCTGATGTCACACTGTACACTTATCTGTGTTTTTGCTTCTCTTCTCTCTCTCCACTAGTGTGAGCTCCAGAAGGATGAGATATTTTGTTTTGACCCCTTGTAGGCATTTAATAATTATTTGTTGAATGAAAGAATACCATAAACAGGGTTTAATTTTGTCAGCTGCTTTCTCTATTTAGATAATCATTTGGGTTTTTTCCTTATTTCTGTTAACATAGTGAATTGATTTACAAAGATTAAATCAACTTTGCATTTCTAAGATAAACCCCACTTGGTTATGATATATAATCCTTTTCATATATTTCCGGATTTGATTTTGCTAATAGTTTGTTTAGGAATTTTGCCTCTATGTTCATGAGACGTAGATGACATGTCGGTTTTTTGTTTTGTTTTGTTTTTGTTTTGTAATGTCCTTGTCAGATTTTGGTATCTGAGTTATAGGAGACTCACAAAATGAATTGGAAAGTGTCATCTCTTCCTCTTTTATCTAAGAGTTATGCAAGCTTGGTATATATTTCTTTTCTTTAAAAGATTGGTTGAATTCACCAATGAAGCTATCTGTGCCTAAGTTTTCTTTGTGGGAAGGTCTTAAATTATAGATTTAATTTCTTTAGCAAATATGACTACTCAGATTTTTTTTTACTTCTGTCAGATTTATGCAGTTGTGTTTTTCAAAGGATTTTCTCCATTTCCAATACATTCATGATATTCCCTTGTTATCCTTTTAATATCTTTAAGATCTGCAGTGATGCCCCCCTTTTCATTGGAGATGTTGGTAATTGATAATTTGATTTGTTTGTTTCTCCCTTAATCTCTCTCTCTCTCTATCATGTTATGAGGGAATTTATCAATTATATTAGTCATTTCAAAGAACTTTTGTTTCTGTTGATTTTCTCTATTGTTTGTCTTTTTTTCATTTCATTGACTTCTGCCCTCATCTTCCCTTTCTTTTCTTTTCTTTTTTTTTTTTTTTTTTTTTTTTTTTGAGACAGAGTCTTGCTCTGTTGCCCAGGTTGCAGTGCAATGGCACTATCCCAGCTCAGTGTAACCTCTGCCTCCTGGGTTCAAGCAATTCTCCCTGCCTCAGCCTCCCGAGTAGCTGGGATTACAGGTGCCTGCCACCATGCCTGGCTAAGTTTTGTATTTTTAGTAGGGATGGGGTTTCACCATGTTGGCCAGGCTGATCTCGGACTCCTGACTTCAGGTGATCCACCCACCTCGGCCTCCCAAAGTGCTGGGGTTACAGGCGTGAGCCACTACACCCGGCCCTTTATTTTCTTCTTTCAACTTTTCCGTGGTTTAGCTTGTTCCTCTCTTTCTAGCTTCTTGGGGGTATAACTGAATTACTGGCTTTAAATCTTCCTTCTTTTTAAATATATATATATTTTTATATATAAAAATTATATGTATATATTTATATATATTATATATATAAACATATATAATATATAAAAATATATAATATATATATTATTATATATAATATATATTTATATATATATTATAAAAATATTATTATATATAATATATATTTATATATATATTATAAAATATATATAATATATAAATATATATATATATTTTTAAAGAGACAAGGTCACGCTCTGTTGCCTAGGCTAGACAGCAGTGGCATGATCATGACTCACTGCAGCCTCAAACTGTTGGGCTCAAATGATCCTCCTGCCTTAGCCTTCTGAGTAGCTAGGACCACAGGCATGTACCACTGTGCCAACTAATTTCTTTTTTTTTTTTTTTGGTAGAGACAGGGTGTCACTATGTTGCCCAGGCTGGTCTTGAACTCCTGGACTCAAGAGATCCTCCCACCTTAGCCTCCTAAAGCCCTGGGATTACAAGCATGAGCCATCCTAAATTTTTTTATTTGTTGTATTTTCGTTATCATTCAGTTAAAAACGTTTTCTAATGTCTCTTGTGATTTCTTCTTAAACCCATATATTATGTAGATTCATTTCTAAACAGTTGGAGCTTATCTGATAATCTTTTTGTCATTGACTTCCAGCTTGGTTCCCATGTGGTTAAGAAACACACTCTGTTTGATTTTAAACTTTTGACATTTATCCAAAATTATTTATGGTCCACAATATGATCTATTCTGGTGATGTTTCATATCCATTTGAAAAGAATACATATTCTTCAGTTGTTGGGTATAATGTTCTCAAATTTTGACCAATTAGTTCAAATTGGTTTATAGTGTGGTTCAAATCTTATATATCTTTATCCATTTTTTGTCTGCTTATTATTCTATCAGTTATTGAAAGAGAAATGGCATAATGTGAATTTGACTTTTTTAAAATCTTAGTTCTATAAATTACTGAGGCATACAGGGTGAATACACTTTAGGACAGTTAACACTTCCTGAAGAATTAACCCTTTATCATTATTCTTTATCATAAGGATGAAAAGCACACCCTTCTCCCTGGAAATATTAATGTAGGTCATCAGCTATATCAGTATAGCAATGATATTAATATAGCTGCATCTGCTTTCTTATACTGTTTCTTTTTCCATTATTTTACTTTTAACCTTTCTGTATCCTTATATTTAAAGATAGTCTCTTGTAAACATTATAGGGTCAAGTTTTCTTTTTTCTGTCCAAACAAACTCTCTTGTTTCATTGGTGTGTTTATTCCATTTACGTTTTGAACTACTCATATGGTTGGGTGTAAGTCTGCCATCTTTCTGTTTTGTTTCCACTTGTCCCTTCTCATCCATTGTTTCTCCTTTCCAGACTTCTGAATTAATCAAGCATTTTTATTATTCCTTTTTATCTTTTGCATTCAATTAGTAATAACTCTTTATTTTATACCTAGTTGTTGCTCTAGGGATTATAATATGCCTCCTTAACTTATCATACTCTACCTTAAGTTGATATACAACTTCATGTACAATGCTAGAAACTTACAACAGTTTAATTTCTTTTAACCACTCACTCCCCTTTAGGTTACGTATTATATATTTTACCTCTACATATTATATAAATCCACCCATACTCTGTTATTAGTTATTTCAAGTGGTCAGTAGGCTCTAAAATGTATTTTTTGAACTGTTCTTTTCTATTTATCTAACCATTTCTGCTTCTAGTGGCCTTCATTCCTTCTTGAAGATATGGGCTTCCAACTGGGATCTTTTATCCTCACCCTTGTCTTAGTTCGGGTTGCTATAACAGAATACGATAGTCTGGGGGGCTTAAACAATAGAAATCTATTTTCTCACGGTTCTGGAGGTTGGAGTTAGGTCAGGGTGCCAGCCACACTGAGTCCTTGGTGAGGGCTCTCTTCCAGGTTATGTCCTCCCTCACACAGCCTTCCCTTGTGCATTTACACACAGAGATCTCATGTCTCTTCCTCTTTTTATAAGGGCATTAATTCCACCAGGAGGTCCCCAACCTCATGACCTAACTTAATTCTAATCACCTCCCAAAGGCTCCACCTCTGAATATGATCCAATTGGGGATTAGGGTTCAACATATGAATTTGGGAGACACAAACATTCAATGCATAGTGACCCTGAAGAACCTCCTTTAATATTTCCCAGGCTGGAGTGCAATGGCACAATCTCAGCTCACTGCAACCTCTGCCTTCCAGATTCAAGCAATTCTGCCTCAGCCTCCTGAGTAGCTGGGATTACAGGCATGTGCTACCACACCCAGCGAATTTTTGTATTTTTAGTAGAGACAGGGTTTCACTATGTTGGCCAGGCTGGTCTCGAACCCCTGACCTCAGGTGATACACCAGCCTCGGCTTCCCAAAGTGCTGGGATTACAGGCGTGAGCCACTGCACCCAGCTGAAATTCTTTTTCCTTTCCATGCTTTACTTAGGTAATTTCTACAATCTGTTTTGTGTTTACTTATTCTTTCATTTATTGTGTCTGGTCTGCTGTTAAGCCCTTCTGATGAGCTCATCATTTCAGATATTTTTCTGTTCCATAATTTCTAATTGGTTCTTTTTTAGAGTTTCAATTTCTCTGCTAAAATTTTCCATCATTTCATCAACTTTTTCCAGTAAGTTATTTAGCACAGCAGTCCCCAACCTTTTTGGCACAATTTTTCCACTGATGAGGGTGGGGGTGGGGATGGTTTCGGGATGTTTCAAGCACATTACATTTATTGTGCACTTTTTTTTATTATTATTACATTGTAATATACAATGAAATAATTATACAACTCACCATAACAAAGAATCAGTGGGAGCCCTGAGCTTGTTTTCCTGCAACTAGATAGTCCCATCTGGGGGTGATGGGAGAAGAGATACCTGAAGTGTGTTGCTTATGTCCAGTCTGTTCTCATTTTGTCCAGTATCTCGTTTTGGTTGCTGTCACTGCAGAAAACCCTGCTTCACAAACAGAGGATGCTGGAAATGGAAGCAGGTTTTTCAGTGCTTTTGTGGCAATCTCAGGATACTCCGCCTTGACTTTAATCCAGAACATATGGGGATTTGAAGTTGTCTCAAACATACTTTTAAGGCCACCAGATGCAGCTGTACAACTGAAGTATATTGACTCACTTGCCAGCCACCAATTGCAGCTTAATTGTCACTTGCCACTCACTGGTAGGGTTTTGATATTAGCCTGCAAGCAGTGGATTTATTGTGGTCTTATGGTCTCTGTGCAGTGAAAACTGTCTGCTAATGTTAACCTGTATTTGCAGCCACTCCCTAGCACTAACATCACTGCCTGAGCTCCCCTCAGATCATCAGGCTTTAGATTATCATAAGGAAAGTGCAACCTAGGTCCCTCCCATGTGCAGTTCACAATAGGATTCATGCTCCTATGAGAATCTAATGCCACCACTGATCTGACAGGAGGTGGAACTCAGGCAGTAATGTGAATGAGGGGGAGTGGATGTAAATACAGATCTCGCTTGCCCGCCACTCACTTCCTGCTGTGTGGCGTCGTTCCTAACAGGCCATGGACTAGTACCGGTTTGTGGCACAAGGGTTGGGGACCTCTGCTTTAACATATTTATAACAATTATTTAAAGACTATTCTCTGCTAATTCCAACATCTAGTTCACCTTTGAGTCTGTCTCTTTTGATCATTTTTCCTCCTTTTGATAAACCATCACATTTTTTTCCTTCTTCACACATAGAACTGATTTTTCAGCATATGCCAGACATTGTGTGACTCCTAGAAACTCTGAATTTTGTTACCTTTCTCTAAAGCGGGCTGAGTTTTGTTCAGGGAGTCTGGTGGATCCCTTCAATTTTGCTGAGGCTGGGCTTTTCGACATGTCTATTTCAATGTTTCCCTTAGTCATCAGGCACAGCCCTTACTTCTATAGCATGGTTCTTACTCTTAATGAAATGACCTTTCTGGGGTTTTAATTAAATGCCAGAGATGCCCACCAAGGTCTATGGCTTGACTGGCTGAAATTCTTCAATGATGAGTTATCATTGAAATCTCTGATCAACTCTCTGTTCCTAGGAGCTGTTCTCTATTAGGCATCATAGTGTCTTGCCCCGGACATGTTCAGTTTAAGATTTAGCCAAGGACCTTAAGGGAGGCCTTATACAAAGTTAAGGAATTGTCTCTCATCTGGTACCCTGACACACAAATTGCCACTGTCACAGAAGCCACAAGCAATGTTTCCAGATTCCCTGCCCAGCTTCCCTTCCCTGCTGCTCTCTTTGCTTGACTAAATTATCCCCCACTGTGGTTTAGAAACCAACTTCAAGCAGAAAGCCAGGATAAATATCAAGTACCTCCCTTGGCTCAAGGCAGCTCAAGGCTTTAAGCCACTGTCCAAGGCCTGAAAACCATTGTTTCACATGTTTTGTGCATTTGTTATAGTCTTCATGATAGAATGGTAAGTCTAATGCTACTCCATCACAACCGGACTGGAAGTCTTTGAGTAAGTTACTATCTGCACAAACAAGAGGATGATTCAAAATTACCTAATGCAGGCTGGGTGCGGTGGCTCACGCCTGTAATCCCAGCACTTTGGGAGGCCGAGGCGGGTGGATCATGAGGTCAGGAGATCGAGACCATCCTGGCTAACAAGGTGAAACCCCGTCTCTACTAAAAATACAAAAAATTAGCCGGGCGCGGTGGCGGACGCCTGTAGTCCCAGCTACTGGGGAGGCTGAGGCAGGAGAATGGCGTGAACCCGGGAAGCGGAGCTTGCAGTGAGCCGAGATTGCACCACTGCAGTCCGCAGTCCGGCCTGGGCGACAGAGCGAGACTCCGTCTCAAAAAAAAAAAAAAAAAAAAAAAAAAAAAAATTACCTAATGCAATGGAACATTAAAAACTCAATTACTGCCTGTCTCCCTCTGAGCCTACCCTGTAGCTGAGTTGATCCCCACCACAGGCCTCTGTTTCCTCCTCTTTCCCATCAGCCATGGTCTTACAGCCTGTCACATTCAAGTTGACATTCTATTCATTTACCGTGTTCTTATTCTGAACCCTTCCTTAGACACAGGAGTTACAAAATTGCCATTATTGGAAGGAAAGCACAATTCAAGAAAAAAGCTCAAAGGATCTCAAAAATACAGATTATATAATAAAAAAGGACAATGGCTTTTAAATATACTAATATATTCTATTACAGACCAAATACATGAGAAATTAGAAACCCCTGAATAGCTGTTGGCTTGTATTGCATTTTAAAAAGACAGAAGATCTTGAGAATATGCCCTAATGGAGGAATAGCAATGACAACTCAAAACAGACAGCTTTTTTACATATATTAGTCTCTTGCATTTGAAATGGTAATGAATGATATCTGCCCCACACCTCTCCCCCACAATCCAGCTAAGGTTAAAAATAAAAATAAGAAGGCATGCTCCAGGTGGGCAGTCAGGAGGATCCCAGGAATATTCTGGGCACTTGCTATAGCTGCCAAGAATAGGATTCAAGGTTTATCCCAAATAATCTATGAAATGGAAAGAAACACGAAGACAATTAATATTAACAATCCATTATGGCAAAACTGGGCACTCTCCAGATGCTTTAATATATATATATATATATATATATATATACATACACACACACATACACATATATACACATATACACATATATGTACATTATATATATATATATTTTTTTTGAGACAGAGTCTCACTCTGTTGTCCAGGCTGGAGTGCAGTGGTGGAGGTTCACTGCAACCTCCACCTCCCGGGTTCAAGCGATTCTCCTGCCTCAGTCCCCTGAGTAGCTGGGATCACAGGCGCATGCCACCACACCTGGCTAATTTTTGTATTTTTAGTAGAGGTGGGGTTTCACCATGTTGACCTGGCTGGTCTCAAACTCCTGACCTCAAATGATCCACCCACGTCAGCCTTCCAAAATGCTGAGATTTCAGGCGTGAGCCACTGTGCCCAGCCACTTTAAAATATTTTTGACTACCTGTATATAACCCAAGTCTTTAAGAGTTCATCTTAACAGACTTCCATTTGTAGAACATGCTTAGATTCTACCCTGAGTCCCTTTATTGATTCGAGGTCTTATCAAGTCACAATGTTTACTAGTTTTGAAAATGTGTTTAACATGGAAAACACTGCTGCGTCTCGCCACAGCATTTTATCTTCACATCTGGCTTGGGGACCATCAGCTTACCAAGTCCACTCACGCCCGCTAATGTTTCCAAAAGCTTTATTTTGGAAATTTGGTGCACTTTGGCTTTGAAACATGTGTATAGATGATTTTTAACATAAGAAGCCCTGCATTCATTGTTATTTTTAAATAAATGTATGCAACTGTTAAATTTTGTGTTTCTTGGGTTTTGTTTTCCACAGCTGACTGGGCATATTCCCAGTGAGAAAATAAGGTCAGCAAAACAGCTGCAATAGTGGAAAAGGGACCAGTGGCCATGAGAGAGAACCAATGAAAGAGCATCTGCTAATGTATTAATGTGATGTCATGGAAGAACTAACCATCTTAAAGATTATAAAATGCAAGGGTATGAGGCTTCCAGAAGATACCTCTTAAAGGCCCAGCAAATTATAAATATGTTGACAACACTTCATAGATAGATTAACACATATAAAATGTATCATATGAAAGATAACATTTATCCTAAATTAGGCGTGGTTCTAAGTCTAACGAATATTCAGATGGCAGAGCTAGAAGAAACTGAACATTTTTCTTCCTGGAAAGCAGTAAACTTTGTTCTAATCTCAGTCATCCTTCTACCTAGCTGTGCAACGCTATTTAGACAACCAGGGCCTCGGTTTCTTTATTTGAAACCAAATTCCTCAGAATTTTATTATTTTATCCTCCTTCCCCTCCCCAATAGAATGTAATTCTCTGAAAACTTAATGTATCTGCTTCAGATACTTCTGTTCTTTTAGCTAAGTGCCAAGGATTGCAATGGAAGAATGGTAAGAAATATTTTTTCCATGGTAAGGGTGATGTTTAGAGCACAGAAAACAGCAAATGCATTACTCGGCATCCTGACTATACTCTTATTGTGAAGCCTAACCTTTTAAATTGTTTTAAACCGGATGCTCTGAGGCTAGTAACTTGATGAATTAACTCATAAATGACTGCATTTCAATTTGGATGTCCCTATATGGACCCTGGCACAGGCTAGCGTTGCCATGGCTGTTCTCTAAATGAACATATAGATTTTACTTATTTATTTATTTATTGAGACAGGGTCTCACTCTGTTGCTCAGACTGGAGTGCAGTGGTATGATCTCAGCTCACTGCAGCCTCGAACTCCGGGTGCAAGCAATCCTCTCACCTCAGTCTCCCAAGTAACTGGGACTACAGGTGTGCGCCACCACGCCTGGCTAATTTTGTTGTATCTTTTGTAGAGATGGGGTTTCACCATGTTGCCCAGGCTGGTTTTGGACTCCTGAACTCAAGCGATCCTCCTACCTCGAGCCTCCCAAAGTGCTGTGATTACAGTCATGAGCCACCATGCCCAGCCCATATAGATTTATGTTAAATAATTAATTAGCATATTTCTTAAAAGGCTGAAATCATCAAAACAATTTGCTAAAATTTATAGACTTACAATTCTTTTCACTTAAACAATTTATCATATGTCCCTAAGGCTCTTTCATCTTTACACACCTCTAAACACACAGCATGCACAGATTCATCAGATACACAGTCACACACTTGCATGATCTATTGTTTCTCATACTTTTCCCTTAGAACTATATGATCTTTATTTATAATGCCTACAAAATAGTGAAATTGATAGAACAATTTTGTCAACTTTATCTGTGTCAGACTGAAACATGTAAATTAAGGTCTATTATTGGTGTGTTTTCGTTCATTTCTTCTTACATTTCTTTCTTTTGTTTTTCTTGAGATGGAATTTCGTTCTGTCACCCAGGCTGGAGTGCAATGGCCTGATCTTGGCTCACTGTAACCTCAACCTCCCAGGTTCAAGTGATTCTCCTGCCTCAGCCTCCCGAGTAGCTGGGACTACAGTCGTGCACCACCACGCCCGGCTAATTTTTGTATTTTTAGTAGAGACGGGGTTTTGCCATGTTGGCCAGGCTGGTCTCAAACTCCATTGTTATTTAGGCAATAACACTGTTTTTGCTTAATGGTGATCTTTTCATTCTTCAGTGTTCTTAAATTTGGACAATATGATTTGTCAGCATTACAGACAAGGTAGTACACAAGCTGTTCTGCTCTCTACCTGATTCAGACATTGCCACGGCACATATAACACTGGCATCCTGTATCATTTAGCTTTCTCTGTTTAACAAAACACCCCTAAATTTAGTGGCTTAAAACAACGAAGTCATTATCTCCCATGGTTCTGTGGGTTGGCTGAGTGGCTCTTCACATCATTAGTTCGGGAGACGGCAGTGTGGCTGGTCTTGAGGGGCCTGACTGCCAGGTCTGGCTTGCTGTCAGCTGAGGCCACAGCCATATGTCTGTAATCAAGCAGCAGGCCAGCCTGGGCTTGTTCACATGGGCACAGGGGGGCTCGCAGCAGCACGGAGGGGCGAGCCCCAACACACAAGCGCTGCTCAAGTCTCCACCTGCATTCGTCTACTGTTGTTCCAGTGACCAGACAAGGGCCAAGTCCAGAGTCATGTGGGCACAAGGCCATTTCACAAAGAGTCTGCCCCACTCTATGCCATTCATCTGTTCCCTTTCTTTGTTTTTGCCTTAGGTCTGTTGTCAAATGTATTCAGCATCCAATCCTTTTCTGAGGTTTCCCCTGTCATCTTCCGGCTGGTTGGAGTTCATCCTCATGATAACAGGGACTGGGTGGAAATGCCGTCTTCTAATTTGCATAAAAGCACTGCACGTGCTAGCTGCAGGCCTGACCTTCAGCTATACTGTAGACAGCCTTGAAAGTGCCTTTGCAGAATTGTAAGTAATGAAATAAATCTAACATGATGGGCTCCATCTTGATTCTAACCTCACAGGTTAAATTGTTTTTTGCTTATTCTAGCGCAGAGGCCAAAATAACCATAAGAGGAATTTAGTTAAAGTTTGAGGCAAGGAAAACTGACCCCCTCCTTTTTCAGAGACCAAAGCTGCATTAATAAGATAAGATTAGAATTATGGCAGGGGCTTGAGCTTTGCTAAAGAATAGGCATAAACAATGACCTGCCATTGCTTAGTGTGTTTTCTACAAGTTGCTTATTGCCCCAGAGTCATGTAACCAGGGGTTACATGATTTAAAAGCTTCCCAAGTACTCCTACACCATTGTGAAAACTAAATAACTAGTCTTTGAGATATTTTTTTAGATTTAGCATTTCAACAGACAAACAGATGCCACCTGGTCCTAAGACCCACTCCCCAACTCCCAGGAACTGACTCAGCTACTAAAAGGCAGTTTTAGACACACCTGTTATTTTGTTCCCACCCATACAATTATTCCAGTTCCCAAGCCCCATCTGCCAAAGTACCATTAAAAAACTCTAGCCTCCGAATTCTCCGGGGGACAGGCTTAAGAAGTTTCTCCTGTTCTCCATGCTTGGCTGGCCCTGCAATTAGTAAACTCTTTCTTTGCTGCAACACCTGCTGTTCTCATTTTTTGGGGGACAGTGGGCAACACGCAAGAAGAACCCATTAGCTTGTGACAGCCTGAGTCTACAAAGAAGGAGGATGTGGCTGGAATGCAAAGTCTGGGGAATCAGCCTGCTCACCTGACCACGCTTCCATCCCTGGTGTACTAGTCAACGTTCTTCAGGAAGCGGGGGTTGCAGTGAGTCAAGATCATGCCACTGCACTCCAGGCTGGGTGACAGAGTGAGACTGTCTAAAAACAAAAAGGTTCTCCAGGGAAACAGAACCAACAGGAGATATAGATTTATAGACAGATAAAGAGAGGGAGAGACTAAGACAGAGAAAAATAGGAAGATGCAGCTCTCTAGGAAAATTATTAGGGGAATGGTCTCATATGATTATGGAGGCCGAGAAGCCCTCCCATCACCTGCTGTCTGCAGCTAGAGAACCAGGAAAGCTGGTGGTAAAATTCAGTCCCAGCCCCGAAGTCCTGAGAACCAGGAGGGCAGATGGTAGAACTCCCGGTCAAGTCCACAGGCCTGAGAACCAGGTGCTGTGATGTCCAAGGCAGGAGAAGATGGATGTCCCAGCTCAAGAAGAGAGTGAATCCCCCCTTCCTCTGCCTTTTTGTCCTATCACGCCTTCAATGGGTTAGGTGATGTCCAATCTGGGGAGGGTAGACATTTTTTACTCAGTCCACCATTTCAAATGCTAACCTCTTCCAGAAACACTCTTACATGCACACCCAGGAGTCATGTTTTACCAACCATCTGGGCATTCCTTAGCCCAGTCGAGTTGACACACAAATGAACAATCACATCTGGGCTGCTATTTTTTATTCCAAGTCATCAGCCAGCCCTCAGTTCTTACTGGATCCAGAAAGAACTTCCTCATATCCAAGAGCCAATGCTGAGTTCTCAGACACTCTGGGTGGAATTTACAACCCTGAAGGGATGACGGCATCATGGTTCCATGGTTCCTGGAAGGGGCATATCACACAGTTTGGCAGACTGGATTACTGGCTCCCAGGCTGTGGGAGTAGACATCCATAGGCTTTGCCATGTAACTTTCACCCATAGGGGCGAGGTATACTTCCCCATCCTTGCTGTGCTTTGGCCAATGAGATGTCAGCAGAGGAGACGCAACAGAGGCTTGAAAGTACTTGCATGGCTGAGCTTACCATCTTTGCCTCTGCCATTCCCATGAGAGCATTCCTGGCTAGGTCCAAGGAGGATAAGAGACACGAGGAGCGGAGACACCCCAGCTGACCCACGGACCTGCAGTGAAAAGAAAAGCCACCCCACCAAGCCTAGATCAGATTAATTCAGCCAAGCTGCAACATCCAATGAGAACTGTTTAAAGCAATTGAGTGCTGAGGTGGTCTGTTACACAGCTGTACTGTTGCCACTGTGAACTGCTACTTGTCAGAATTTAGTGGGTGAGTGTCGGCGTCCCTGGCAAAACCCTCAAGGGCCCCAGATGAAAAGATGACCTACTTTCTGGCTTGAGCCACTGCCCCTCCCAGGCTCAGACTGGAAATTCTCCTCCCACAGCCACCCAGCGCTGATCACACAGTCCTGCCGACAGTGTGGCGGGGAGCCACATGAATGACAGGGCTTCTTTTACCCTCCAGGTTCTCTTTTCCCTTACCACTCCTAGAATCAAAAATGTCTCCAGCTTCTTCCCACTTAGCACAGAGCTGTTTACTCAGGAGTCCCTTAATACCTATTACTTGAATAGATTAATCAGTGAATGCATTAGAAGGTCATTTGCTAAGAGTGACAACGAGCCCATGGGAGTTGAAAGGTCCACCACTTAGAGTATCTAATGTATTGAAATACACCAATGACATTACGAACAAACAAGCAAAATTATATTTATGCAGAATTTGGTTTTGATTGCCTTTCATTTAAAATCTAGCTCTAATAATTCAACATTGACACACATTTAAATGGGATGCTGGGACCCCATGACCTAAGAGGTAAAATTCCATTAAATCTCTTCTAACCCTTCCAAAACTGGTGTTAAGGGAAACCTGTTGGCCTAAAAGAAACTTGTTCCTTGTACCAATAAACTCGCTTAATCACTCAGCAGAATTAAAATTGGATTCTTTACTGCTGTACTTCTCAGAACTTTTAATATGCTAATGTACATTGTACAGCTCTGAGAGGGGGAATTAGTATGCAGCATTTCCTAGGCCAATTTGGCCCCAGAACCCTGAGAACTTTTTGTGCTTAGGACATTTGTATGATTCATATCAGCCCATGGAACGCAGTTTGAGAAACTCTGGTCTTTTCCAATGACCTACAAGGTAATGAATCATTCTGTCAGTTACACAGTTATATTTGAATCCCACCTTCCTGGCCCTAAAGTGACTACCCCAGTGGTTGGTAACCTTTTTATGGTTACAGCACCCTGGAGGGGATTGAAAGAATCAAGGCAGGGGGCAGGAGGGGGTGGAAAGCCACTAAACAAGTCAGAAGTAATTGCAATAAAAACAACAAAGTTTCACAGGTCTATAAAAGAATCCATGGTTATCTCACTATTCACCCTGCAAAACCGGGTCTTTGAAGAGAAGTTGGTGACTGGGCCTGCGCTAATAAGAGAACGTTTTGAAGCAGTCTAGAGAATACTGCTTTCTGGCCCTGGCTGCCACAACACCACTCCCTTTAACTCTTATTGGTAATAAGCTGTCTCTGGAATTTCATGGCCCGATCAGTGCTGTGGCCACATATGGACTCATTTGTAATGAAACAAAGTGACATAACTGCAAAATACAACAGCATACCTGTCCTCAGAAACCACAGTACTGCAGTCAGCTCCTAGAGGGAGACTGCTGAGCCAATCATGCAAATTACACAGCACCAGAAATACAGGATCCATGATGAAATGACATCAAAAGGATCCCTGGTTTTCTCAATTGCATCTTTCAAAACAAACAAAAACAAAAGAAAAAGAAAAATGCCTCCAGCCCTCTTGGCCCTCCACAGGCATTGGAATGTCATTATACATGACCTTAGATCTACATGGGCTGAGTTCTTCAAGTCTGAAAGTACAGGAAACTCAGTGGCGGTCAAAAGGGCCTCTCTTAACTTTTCTCCATGGTGTACAACCATGGCCTGTGTCTGCTGTTCTGCCCCTTAGTGAGATACACCCAGCCAGCCAAGGGGTCTCCCGCAATGGAGCAGATGAGTCTGTCAGCTTGTGTATGTTACATATGAGTTCAAATTTCTCTTCAAAGAATTAATGTGTCAGTATGTTCAATTCTTTGCCTTCTACTTTTAAACTTAACTTCCTCATAAAGCAACCTTTTTCAATCACCTGCTCCACTCTGACTCATTCTGATCACCTGCTCCACCCTGACTCATTCCGATCACCTGATCCACTGTGACTCATTCCGATTACCCGCTCCACCCTGACTCATTCTGATTCTGATTTCCTGCTCTGCCATAACCATTTTTCCCGCCAAACCACTCACCCTGTCACTCTCTTTAAATTAGCCAATTGGAATTAGTTTAGCCTGTGCGGTCTAACCCTAGCCAATAGGGGACTGACACAGCAGCAGGGGCCACATGTGTCAGGAATAAGACCCCCTTCCCCTCCCTTGTCCAGGTGTGTGCTCACCATTGCTCCATCTGTGAGGGCACACCCTTCTATAGAAGTAAATTGCCTTGCTGAGAAGAAAAAAAAGAACATTTTATATTCAAGTCCTATTTCTTTTGCTGCAACGAAACTTTATTTATAACAGTCTGGGGGCTTGCCCATGATTACATTTCCTCCAGGGGCGGTCTCTGGTTCTCTCTTGTGAGGAAGTGCGCCCTGCCCCCTTGTGGCAGCCTCAGGGGTGAGAAATCAGGACCCACCCAGTGCGAGGAATAACCCAAGCTCTCAGCAATACTGAAAGAAACTGGCCAGCAGCCTAGGGTAAAGGATCCTCACACACTGTGGTGACGGGTCTGTGCACAGACCAAGGAAGGAGAAGCTGCAGGAGCCGGTAAAGTACTTCCTTGATGGTCAAATTCTGGAGGGCTAAATGTGTGTGTGCGTGAATGATCACAAACAACCCTACTTGCAGTGTTGTTCGTGTGGATGGTGACAAGTCCTACTGCTGGACAGAGTGAGTGGGCCCTCTCCATGGTTCCATAGCTACCTTGTATGGCTTAGGACAGATCCTGCCGTGGGATTTATACCAGCATGCCAACGCTAAGGGGGCCTAATTCTCCGTTGGGGGAGCAGCTAGAGAGGACAACATGAGTGGGAAGTGTGCAAGGGACCTTCAGAGGGGGAAAGGGAGGAAACAGGAAACAGGTCAACCTTCCAGGGCAGCAAGGCAAGACATCCCCTGGTTTAAGGGGTTGAGGCTTCCAGGGCAGGCAAAGCAAGACACCCCTGGTTTGAGGGGTTGAGCCTTCTGCATATTTCAGGGGATTGAACCTCACACAAACCTCCAGGAGTAGAAAAGGCAAGAAATTTCCAGTAGGGGAAGTTGAGCCTCATCCCAAAAGGTGAGAAATTTCCAGTAAGGAAAATTTCACCTTACCCCAAAATCATCAAGATGGGAGGGATAAAGATGGTAACAAGGATATCCCCCTGGATAGCCCCCTAGGTCTCATGTTAAAATACTGGAAGGATATTGAAAGGAGGCAAGGACCTGTCCCCTTTTTTCCCTTAAAAACAAATAGGGAAAAACCCAATCTGGCACCTCAAATGAAAAGTCAGAGGAGCCAGCCCTCATGCCTAAAGAATCCAGTGCATGAGATCCCCTAGACTATCTTCCTTCGCTCAGTGTCCCCAATCCTTCCCCTCAGGCGGCCACTGCCACCTCAGATCCCATTCCAAATCCTTCCTCTACTCACATTATCCCTCTTCCTTATAACCCTGACTCTTGGGAATTACCATCCCACCAGCCTGTTCCCTCCCAACCTAAATACCCCTCTCTAAAAGGACTCCAGCATGAGATAGAACAATGTAAAAAAGATATTCAGAATTTCCCATTTCCCTCCGTACCTAAGGGGCCAGCCTCGACGCTCTTCCATTTGAAATAAGTGCCACAAGGAGGGGAGGCCACTGGCTTTGTAAATGCTCTCTTAACCAGTTTAGAAGTCCGGAATTTTAAAAAGGAGCTTAAACTGCTACTAGATGACCCTTATGGGCAGATCAAATTGACCAATTCTTAGGACCTCAGTTATACACTTGGGTCAAGTTAATGTCTATCTTGGGCATCCCCTTTTCAAGGAAAGAAAGGAGTATGATTTGTAGGGCTGCTATGGTAGTTTGGGAATGTGAGCACCCTCCCGGTGAAAATGTTCCTACCGCAGACCAGAAATTCCCCACCCGAGACCCCCAGTGGGACAATAACAACGCAGACCACCGGGAAAATATGGAGTACTTAAGGGAGATGATAATAAAAGGAATTCAGGAATCAGCACCCCGAACCCAAAATCTTTCTAAAGCATTTGATATACAACAGGAAAAGGATGAAGGGCCTATGAGATTTCCAGATAGACTGAGGGAGCAAATGAGGCAACATGCAGGCCTCAATTTGGACGATACCCTTGGGCAAGGAATGTTGAAACTCCAATTTGTCACTAAAAGTTGGCCAGACATTTCAAAAAAGCTATAAAAGATAGACAGTTGGGAAGACCATGCCCTAAGTGAGCTTCTCAGAGAAGCTCAGAAAGTATACGTGAGAAGGGACAAAGAAAAACAGAAACAAAAGGCAAAACTTATGTTACCCACCTTCCAACAGATGGCTCCAAACCCAGGTACTTCTAGATAGAGTTTCCAGGGAACCAGAAACTGTAAAGGGGCCGAACCCTTCTTTAAAGGACCCCAGCCTCCATCTGGAGGGGCAAGGCCCTCGTCTACCAGGCCCCGCTAAAGAGTATGGGGGAGCAGGGTTAAAGAATCCCTGAACTAAGAGGGAGTAAGGGCAAGATAGGTGCTATAGATGTGGAAGAACAGACCACTTCAAGAGGGAATGTCCCGAACTAAGAAAGGAGAAAGAAGCCCTTCCACTCATGACTTTCGAGGAAGAATAGGGGTGTCAGGGGCTCTATCTCTTTTATCTTGAGTCCCACCAGGAGCCCTTGATACATTTAGAGGTGGGACCTAAACATGAGATTATCACCTTTTTACTCAATTCAGGGGCTGCTCGCTCCTCTGTTTGTTTCCCCCTGTCTAATGTTGTCTCTTCTTCAGAGGAGCTTTTAGTCTCTGGGGTAAAAGGGAAGGATGTAGAGTAAAAATTTTAGAAAGCACCAAAGTTAGATAGCAGGGTCGCTCAGCTCACATTCAGTTCTTGTTAATCCCTGAAGCAGAAACTAATTTATTGGGGGGGATTTAATGTTAAAGTTGGGCATAGGTCTACAAGTCAGTCCAAGAGGATTCCTCACCTCATTAAACCTACTCACCACTGCAGATGAAAAATATATTAATCCTAGTGTCTGGTCCAAAGAAGGGAACTGAGGGAAACTCCGAGTCCCTCCAATCCACATCAAGCTAAAAACCCCTGGAGAAGTAGTGAGAAGGAAGCAATAGCTTATTCCCCTACAAGGTAGGATAGGGTTGAAACGTATAATCGAAGGCCTTATTAAAGATGGGCTTCTCAAGTCCCGTATGTTCCCTTATAACACCCCCAATACTGCCAGTCAAGAAATCAGACGGGTCATACCAGCTAGTACAGGACCTTAGAGCTATCAACCAAATAGTTCAGACTACCCACCCCGTTGTCCCCTGTCCTTACACCATTCTCAGCAAGATTCCATATAATCATCAATGGTTTACTGTAATAGATTTGAAGGTTGATTTTGGGCATGCCCCCTGGCTAAAGATAGCCAAGATATATTTGCTTTTGAGTAGGAGGATCTCCACTGAGGGCGGAAACAACAATATCAATGGACAGTCTTGCCCCAAGGGTTCACAGACTCCCCTAATATTTTTGGTGAAATTTTAGAACAAGCATTAGAAAAAGTTTTCATTCCAGAACAAATATGCCTTCTCCAGTACATGGATGACCTTCTTATATCTGGTAAAGATATAGAGAAGGTAACTAACTTCTCTACACATATTCTTAACCATCTGCAGTTTGAGGAGCTAAGAGTCTCAAAAAAAGGAAGCTTCAGTATGTAGAGCCTGAAGTTAAATATTTAGGCCACTTAATAAGTGCAGGCAAGTGAAGAATAGGGCCTGAACGAATTGATGGAATCATGTCCCTACCCTTGCTTCAAACTAAACAAGAACTCAGGAAATTTTTAGGGTTAGTCACATACTGCCACTTACGGATTGACTCATATGCACTGCACAGTAAACTGTTACATCAAAAACTTGCCCAGGAGAAGCCTAACCCTCTCCTGTGGACTTCTGAGGAAGTTGATCAAGTCAAGGAGCTGACAGAAAGGCTCATAACTTCCCCTGTTTTAGCCTTACCCTCCCTAGAAAAGCCATCCCACATTTTTTTTTTTTTTTTTTTTTTGAGATGGAGTCTTGCTCTGTCGCCCAGGCTGGAGTGCAGTGGCATGATCTCGGCTCACTGCAAGCTCCACCTCCCGGGTTCACGCCATCCTCCTGCCTCAGCCTCCCGAGTAGCTGGGACTACAGGCGCCCGCCACCATGCCCGGCTAATTTTTTGTGTTTTTAGTAAAGACGGGGTTTCACCGTGTTAGCCAGGATGGTCTCGATCTCCTGACCTCGTGATCCGCCCGCCTTGGCCTCCCAAAGTGCTGGGATTACAGGCGTGAGCCACAGCGCCCGGCCCCACCTTTTTGTTAATGTGGATGGTGGGGTAGCTTTAGGAGTGCGGACACAAGAACACAGTGACCTCCAGCAGCCCGTGGCCTTCCTATCAAAGGTCTTAGACCCAGTCACTTGTGGATGGCCTCAATGCATCCAGTCCATCGCGCCTACGGCAATACTAGTCGAGGAAAGCAGAAAGTTAACGTTTGGAGGAAAATTGACAGTAAGCAAGCCTCACCAAGTTAGAACTATCTTAAATCAGAGGGCAGGGAGATGGCTTACTGATTCGAGTGCTATTTCTTTTGAGGCACCAAAACTTTATTTATAACATGTACAAGAGTCAATGATATTTTCCCATCATATCTTCAACCCAGGAAGCAGAATTCACATACAAGAAATGCACACACTATAAGGCATATACATATAATGTACAGCATGCCCAATTATAGGAATGTGTGACTTTGGGAAGCCCTGCAGGAGGGGTGGGCGATGGGGGAATCCACTCTCCACTTACCAAGCGCTTATACTAGACAACCATTAACCAGTTAGAAAATACAGTGAGAAAGAAATATTAATAATATGTAATATCTGAAAAATAAACTAAACAAGCAATGTTCATGAAGAGGAAAAAAAAACAATACTACCAAGGAACATAACAGATGACTCCAACAAAAGGAAAGGCATTATTTGGATCTTGGATAGAATACTCCAAATTGCAAAATTATTTCATTTTTCCAAATAAATAATATTTTTTTTGCAATTCCAAATGAAATTGCAAAACGATTTTTCTTAGAAATTAGACAAAATTATTTTAAAATTTGAGTTGAAAAACAGATGCATAAGGATAACCAAGAAAATTTTGAGAAAGACAAGAAACTTACCCTGGCACATATTAAAGAATATTATAAAGCTATAGGGATGAAAGTATAATGTTACTCAGCCAGGAAAAACAGATAGCACAACAGGTTAAAAAAAAAAAAAGAGTGCATAAAGGGACAGAAATAAATAGGGAAATTTGTTATAGGAGAAAGAATTTCAAATCAGATGGATCATGTAATAAATGGGATTGGAACAATTAGCTCAATACCTGGAAAAAGACAAAAGAAACCTGGATCTCCATATTACTCTGTTGAACAAAATAAATTCCAAATGGGTCAAAATTTAAAGATTTAAAATATATGAAGCCATACACACATTGGAAGAAAAACTGGTACATTTGTAATAAACTTGTGTCCATTTTGTGTTGCTATAACAGAATGCCTGAGACTGGGTAATTCATTTTTAAAAGAGGTTTATTTAGCTGTTGGTTCTGCAGGCTGGGAAGTTCAAGAAGCATGGCACCTTATCAGTTAGGTTTTGGGGAGGGCCGCATGCTGGGTCAGAACATGCAAAGAGGCAAAACCCATGGGCATCTGCTTTATAACAATGTGCTTTCTTGTGGGAACTAATCCATTCCCAGGGAAACTCCCTCATTACCAGGAGTCCAGCACCAAACTGTCCATGAAGGATCCATCCTCACCACCCAAACACCTCCTACTAGGCCCCACCTCCCAACACTGCCACACCGGGGATCAAATTTCAACATGAGTTTTGGTGAGGACCAACTCAATCCATAGCAACTTGGACGGGAAAAACATTTCTAAACATGTTGTGAAACCCAGAAAACACCAACGACAGATATTTTTAAAACTCCACAGAGTTGGAAGACAAAAGGAGGAAAGTATTTATAATACACTACAGAAAGAAAAGCTAACATTTAAAATATCATTTATATCTCAAACCTCAAATAAACCAATAATAAATAAAGCAAACCTGTAAGAGAAAAATGGGCAAAGTAGAATGAGAAATATTATGAAAGAATACAAATACAAATGGACAAAACCATATGAAAAGATTTACAACTGTACCAATAATAAAAAATGAAAATAAAAATAAGAAAACATTTCTTGACTAACAAAAGAGTACAGATGTGAAGGACTAGGCCAAGCTCAGTGGCTCACACCTGTAATCTCAGCACTTTGGAGAGGCCAGGTAGGAGGATCATTTGAGCCCAGGAGTTCAAGACCAGCCTGGGCAACATGGTGAAACCCTATCTCTACCAATATCCCCCTCTCTACCAATTAGCTGGGCGTGGTGGCACATGCCTGCAGTATCAGCTATTCAGGAGGCTGAGGTGGGAGGATCACCTGAGCCCAAGAGGTCAAGGCTGCAGTGAGCCTTGATCACGTCACTGCACTCTAGCCTGGGTGACAGAGTGAGACCCTGACTAAAAATATATAATAATAATAATAACATAAATAAAGATGCAACCTTTAGAAGGGCATATTACTGATAGAAGTGCAGGAAGAAATTTGAAGTGAAGAGTGAACAGGAGGTCCAGAAAATGATCCAATTACATGTGAGTGTTTAGTTTATGATAAAGGTGGCATTTTAAGTTAGTAGGAAAAAGATAAATTATTTAATAAATGATGGATTCACTGTACTATTTAGGAAGAAGAGGAATACTCTTCTTTCATTGCAATTGATTCAAGATGGATTAAAATTTTAAATGTAAAAAATACATGCAAAAGAGTACTAGAAAACACAACAGAACAATTTTGTAATGTTTAGTTGCATCTGTTCAGGGAGGGGGCTTCTAAGTATCTAAGTATGAAACCCAGGAGCCCTAAAAAGAAAAGATGAATAAATCCGATTAAATAACAAAGTTTAAATTCTATGTTTAAAAGCACGATAAAATTAAAACGCAATTTTTTTTTTTTTTTTTTTGAGATGGAGTCTCACTCTGTTGTGCAGGCTGGAGTGCAGTGGCGCAATCTTGGCTCACTGCAACCTCCGCCTCCCGGACTCAAGTAATTCTCTTGCCTCAGCCTGCCAAGTAGCTGGGATTACAGGCACTCGCCACCACAACCGGCTAATTTTTGTATTTTTAGTAGAGACAGGGTTTCACCATGTTGGCCGGGCTGGTCTCAAACTCCTGACCTCAGGTGATCTGCCTGCTTTGGCCTCCCAAAGTGCTAGTATTACAGGCGTGAGCCACTGCACCTGGCCTAAAACACAAATCTTACACAAGGAAAAATACAATATTTACAATCAATATAACAAAGTCTTCCTAGAGAAAGAGAATCAAAATGTTAACAATGGTTATCTCTGGGTGATCTTTATTTTCTTTTTTACAATGCTTCATACTTCTTTATCACTGAGTATAATATTTTCATAAAAACAGAAACCCTTAAAAAAATTAAAACCAAAGAAAAGATAATTGTTTATAAAAATTTTTGAAACAGGAGTGGGGAATTAGACTTTCTGAGCTTGGAGGCATGAGAAGGAAAGCAAACCTTTTGCTAGGTGGGGCCAGACTCACTTATCCAATGGCATCCCCGAAATCTCCAGCTGGGTGTCTCATAGGCTCTCAAACTATCCAACCACAATGCAACTCTTGGTGCCTACACACACAGAGGATATGAGACATCTAAACCTCAGATGCCAAAACATGAAGTCAATATAGAACTTTTAAAACGGATAAATCAAGAAATAACAGGGTTTGCTATTTTTTGCTAAAAGCCTTTTTAGTACTCTCATCAGTGAAAAGAGTAAGGAAAGAGGATGTCCCTTTGTCCTTGAGGATGACCCAGAAGTTGCCCACACAACTTCCTCCTACATGCCATTGGCCTGACCTAGTCATGGCCATATCTAGCTCTAAGGAGGACTAGGGAACATCGTCTTTATTCTAGGCAGTCAGGTGTATAAATTCTGTTACAATGGAAGTAGGAGAGGATGGGTATTGAAGGACCACACTCTCTGCCACAATTCCAGCATAGCATGTAGTACATAACCTTATCTGTATAAAATACGCCCCTACACTCAACACACATGCACCTTGATGGATGTGAGGATACTTTAAAAATATTGGGACTTTGGGTGAGTTTTATTATCTTCCTTGAACTTTTCTGCATTGGTTGAATTTTACATAATGGGCATAATTTTCAATATGGCTTTATTTTTCCCAAAATGAATAACATAGATTAAATCTAGGGCCAGAGACTGTCACCAGGTGTCACAGATCAGCTCCCCAGGAAACAGGCTCTGAGGCTGAAACGTGTGTGTAGGTGGCCTACTAGGGAGTGCATGTGGGTCAACACTTGTAAGGCGGCCAGAGAGAAGCTGGGCTGGCCAGAGAGAAGCTGGCCAGAGAGAAGCTGGGCTGCCATGCAGTTGCAATCCAGGCCTCAGCTGACCTCCTGGGGGCTCTGCATGTAAGATGACCCTTTGGAGTTATCCCGAATTCAGGACCTCTGTGACGTGTTGCAGACAGCCTCTAGGAGGGGAAGAAACCTCAGGCAAGGGAGCTCCTTTCAGCGCAGGGCAATTCCTGGAGGGGACTGAGCTAGAAGCCCTCAGCAGCTAGCACTCCGCTGCTGGTGGAATGCATCTCCATGCTGAAGGGGGAATGTGGGTGGGCACCATTGCAGCCACAGTGCCGGGGTAGAGATAGAAAGGCATGGCTTGGGGCTGGTAGAAGGAAGGAAAGGAAAGTGAGAAGCATTCTCTTAAACATGGTATGTGCCATGTGTTTTTCACTCTGTGTTATTTAATCTTCTCAATAGTCTTGCAAGATGAATGCTTCATTTCACCATTTTTATATGTATGGAAACTGAAGTTCAAGGATATTAGTAAAATCTGTCTAAGAAGAGGGAGTAGGTAAATAATAGAATCAGGATTCAAACCCAGACAGGGACATCTTTCTCCAAAGCCCTGTGCTACCACCAGCATTAAGTCACAAAAATTGAGGCCTTGTTTGGATTGACTAGGATGAAAACTGCTAACAGCATCAAAAAAGGCCTTTAAAACCATGTGGGCAACAAGAACAAAGAAGTGAAAGTTCTGCTGTAAGGGAAGAGTAGTGTAAGTAGATTAATAATAGAAGGCAGAACCACTTCATGCAGCTACTATTTTTCTTCAGATCTTCCTCAGGAAAGACACCGGTTTTAAAATTAAACGTGTGGCAAAAGTGCGTAACCTGAATCTAAGCAGGAAAAATCATTAGACAAGCCCAAATAGAATAACTCTATAAAATAACTGGTCTGCACTTTTCAAAAATGTCAAGGTCAGGAAAGGCAGAGAAAAGCTGAAGAACTGTTCCTGATGAAAGAAGGCTAAAGAGAAATGACAAGTAAAGGAATGTGTGCTCCTGGATTGGAGAAAACTGTATAAAGGACGGCGTTAGGACTTAGGCAAATTTTAATATGGGTTGTATATACAATAATAGTTTTGTTACTGATGTTAAATGTCTCAATTTTGGTAATTACACCATAGATATATAAAAGAATATACCTGTTTCTAGAATTACATGCTTAAATCTTCTTTTTGGGGGGGTGGAGGAGGGGGTTTGGGGGGACAGGGTCTGGCTTTGTCACCCAGGCTGGAGTAAAGTGGCAAAATCACAGCTCACTGCAGCCTCGAACTCCTGGGCTCAACTGATCCTCCCACCTCAGCCTCCAGAGTAGCTGGGACTACAGGCACATGCCACCATGACCAGCTAATTTTTTGTATTTTTGTAGAGACGGGGTCTCGCCATGTTGGTCAGTCTGGTCTTGAATTCCTGGGCTCATGAAATCTTCCCATCTTGGCCTCTCAAAGTGCTGGGATTCCAGGCATGAGTCACATGCCCAGCCACTTAAGTCTTTACGGGTGAAGAGTTACAGTGTCTGGAGTTGATTCTCAAATATTTAGAAAAAATAAAATTATATATAAATTTAAAAATTGTATAAATATAAATAAATGTGTGTATGTATGCACACACACATGAATAAACACGGTAAAAAGTTAATAACTGGTCAACCTAGGTGAAAGTTATATGAGGAAGCCCTGAAATAGTCTTGCAACTTTTTTGTATGTTTGAAAATTTTTTTTCTTTCTTTCTTTTTTTTTGAGACGGAGTTTCGTTCTTGTTGTCCAGGCTGGAGTGCAGTGGCACAATCTCCAGCTCACCACAACGTCTGCCTCCTGGGTTCAAGTGATTCTCCTGCCTCAGCCTCCCGAGTAGCTGGGAACAGGCATGTGCCACCACACCTGGCTAATTTTGTATTTTTAGTAGAGACAGGGTTTCTCCATGTTGGTCAGGCTGGTCTCAAACTCCCAATCTCAGGTGATCTGCCTGCCTCAGCCTCCCAAAGTGCTGAGATTACAGGCGTGAGCCACCGTGCCTGGCCGAAAATTTTTCAGAATGAAAGGAGAGAGAAATACATTCCAAAAGCAGGTGAGCCAGTAGGATGAGAATATTCAGCCACTCTAAAGGAACTCAGATCTGACAACACAGGCTCCTGATGGGCAAACATTGCAATTGCCAGAAAGTGGATTATGATCACTGTAAATTGGTAAGCTTGAACTTGTTTCATGGACAAATTCTGGTAGGTATTCTCTAATGGACAGTTTGTGAACCCTTAGCAAAACTTGTGAGAGTCTCTATGGGTCAATATGATCTCCTCTACAAAAGTAAATAAATAAATATATGCAAATTAAGTCAAACTACCCTTATTTTCTTTTCTAAGATAAGTTTTTACAAATGATCATCATCATTTGTAAAATCATCATCAAAGTGAACCTTAATTTTGGCACATTTTTTTTTAATGGGTCCCACTCTGTTGCCTGGGCTGGCCTTGAACTAGGCTCAAGTGATCTTCCCACCTTAGCCTCCTGAATAAGCTGGGACTATAGTTGTGTGCCACCACATGCCTGGCTTGATTTTAGCCAAGTTTTTAGCCAAGTGGTTCGTACATCTTCCTGGATAAGCTAATATAACACTTGAGGGCATTTTTACAGCAACTTCAACATCACTCAGAGAAAATGGGCTGAATCTGCTTAGGGTAGCATATTAGTTTCCTGAGGCTGCTGTAACAGATTTGGGGGCTTAAACAGTAGAAACTTATTTTCTCACAGTTCTGGAGGCTGCACGTCCAAGACCAAGGTGTTGGCAGGGTTGGTTCCCTCTGAGGGCTGTGAGGAAGCATCTGTCCCAGGCCCCTCTTCTTGGCTTGTAGGCGGCCACCTTCATGTTCACATAGTGTCTGCCATATGCATGCCTGTCTCCAAATTCCCCTCCTTACAAGGACACTAGCCAGACTGAATTCAAGCCCACCCTCATGGCCTCATTTCAACTTGAACGCCTGTGTACACAACTTCTCTCAAATGAGGTTACATTCTGAGGTACCAGGGGTTAGAACTCCAACACATGAATTTGCAGGGGGGCACAATTCAACCCTTAACAGAGAGGTACCTCTAGTAGAGTGCCACAAAGCCCTGCTCTGTTAAACTCTATCCAGAGAAGACAAGAGAGGACCCACCGATCCCATTTGGGGACCGTATGAAAATGCAAAGGGAAAATACCAAGTAGATGATGCAGCAGGGAACAGGTCGGGAGCTAGAGGATGGGGCCCATGGCCAGCTCCCTTACCAAGAGCTGTGCCATCCTGGAGGTCACCATTTTCCATCCTGAGACTCACATCTTCCTGGGTGGCGTGGGGATTACAGGAGAGAAGGAGCAAAAGGCATTATGCAAACTGTGAGCTCAAATAACCCACTAATCACAGGCACCGCCGCATGCTGGGAGGCTTACTAGGAGCTGCTGAGGCGACTACTGGTCAGCTGGATCCAATTGTCACTGCTTCTACGACTGTCTTGAGCAGGCTTGGGAGACAGGGATTTACTAATCTTCAAATCCAATTGTGTGCATTTTCATAAAACATATTCAGATTTCCATCCATCTCCATTCTTCAGAAGACTTTAAACATCCAGTCCTTTGATTCTTCACAGCTTCACTCTAGACACCTTCTCAGACTTCTCATGCCATCTCCTCTCCCAATCACCCAAAGGGGCCATCCCAAGCCCCCTTATTTCTTCCCGTCTGACTTTTACAGTAAAAGTCTATTTCTCCACACCCCGTGGAGACGGCTGATGTTCCTGCCTCTGCTTCGGCTGCCATTTCTTCTGCTCACCCTGCCTCAGCCCCACAATCTCCTTCCTCCTCTAAGGTTTAGAATCTCCCCCTCACCAAGGGGTCTTGGTGTTCACCCTTACACAAGATTTTGCACTTCTATCTTAACACATCCTTTCTTAGCATGAGGTCCTCTCAAGCTTCAGTGGTGTTTCCCAGGTTTTTCCCACATGATCTTAGTCTGCATCATACCCAGACCCACAGTCACATCAGAAATCCAGAGGTCCCTAAGTCAAGGACATTTAGGAAATGCTTTGTCTCTTAACCACAGGATCACTAGCACTTTTAAGACTGCATTCTAATTCTCCAAAAAAGGACATAGAACTTGGCATTTCCCAAACTGTTCTTAGAACTCTGTATTCCAGAATATCCTGAGGGACTGATGTCCCACTATCACAAGTGCTGGTCTGGACCCAGTGTCCCCACTTCCTGTTGTTCTGTGAAAGAGATGGCTAACTGTTCACCAAAAATCCTTTCTGCACTTCTTCTTGGACCCAGAGCCAGACTAGTTTCCTAAACTTCCTTGCAGCTTGACGTGATCATATGGTGTAGTTCTTCCCAGTGGAATGTGAGCAGGGTGAGATGTGCCTCCTGTAGGCCTGACCTGTGCAAACCTCCTACATGGTCTTTTCCACACCCTTTCCCTTCTGAATGAGCAGGAGGCCATGGAGAGCCACCAACAGCCAGGGCCCCAGTGGTCACGGGGGAAGCTGCCTTGATAGCTGACACCTGCCTGAGGCTGCTGCCTGGGCAAAAGATAAGCTTCTAGTGTGGTAAGCCATGCACGCTGAGGCCGGTGATTTCTCAGCCTCACTCTACACTGCCTGCTTTCTCCTTTACTCCATGTAATTTACCCTCTGCTTTCTGTCTTGCCACTGACACAGCCCAGGAACATTGTCAGTGACTTTTTAGCCAAATCCTGAGGATTTATCCCAGTTCTTTACCTCTTTACATAATCTGACCCTCTTCAACACCACTTCCTCCTCGCTGGGTATCTGCAACCATGTTGTCTCTGTCTGTTGTTCTTCAGCTGTAGAATATTTCATCTTTTTATCTCCTTCATTATCGTCTCCTCCCCCACTCTTCCCCCAGCTTTTAGTGTGCCTCTGCTCATTGTGTTTGGTCTTGCTTTTCTAACATAGTTTCATCTCTGATCTCATGGCTTCTGTCATCTCATCCATGCAGTCATTCAGGGCTCCAGGCTGAGGCAGCTCATCAGATACACATCTCTCTCCCTAATCTTAAGAATACCTATGCCCTAGGCCCTAATTTCTAAGTTACTATAGGATGTCTTCACTTAGAATCATAGACCATACAGTGGAAGTGCCCATGGAGACAGTCCACTGAATTCCCCGAAACTCATTTCTGTCCTTCAGGTCACCTCCTCAGAGAGGCCTTCTCTGATTGCCTTATATATGGTATCACTCCAACCCACCTTTTCTAGCCCCTTATCCTGATTTATTTTTCCTCATAGCACTTATCACTGCATGGAAATATATTCCAATCTTGTTTGTGGTCTGCCTCTCTAGCTTACACTAGAATGTAAGCTCTGTAGGGCAGGGGCTTTCATCTTTTGCTGTATTATTGGTGCTTAGATCAGTGCCTGACACAAGCAGGTATTCAATAAAACCTTGTTGAAGGAACTTAGGCTCAAAGTTTCTTCTGCTCAAAGTCTTATATTTAGTTGTAGCATTTAGACTTCACTCAGTTCTTCTGACCCCTGTCCTGGGCTCTTTCCACTGCCCAATCATCTTAAATCACTTCAAACTCACAATTTCTAAAAAGGAGCACTACCCGTCGCCATTTGCTGATCCCATTTCTACCACTGATCCTTTATTCTTCCAGTGTCCCACGTTAAAGGCTGCTAAACCTGTAGTTGTCTTCAATTCATCATCCCTATCATCTAGGTAGAATCCCTTTGCTTATCTTTGCCTCTATTCCAACACTTCACCTTACCCCCCCAAAATAAATTTTTGTTCTCTTCCTGCTTCCATCCTCAGTTCCATACAAAGCATCTTGGTGACCTCTAAATATTAATTTCCTAGAATAATTCTGGAGGGACATCCAAGAAACTGATAATAGTCCCTTTGGAGATGAGAAACTAGAATTTGGGGGATTGGGGTACATATGCTTTTGAATGGCATGAATTTTTACTAGTTGCATTACGTATTTTGCAGTAAAAACATTTTAAAATATTGTGTTTTATGTCCAGATTTATTTTAAGGCTCAACTCTTTTGAGGGGAAAATAAATCTCTTAAATTGCCCAGGCTAAAGCTATAACATGAAATCACTGTCAGATAAAGAATATAATAGTTCCAAGAAGGAAGGAAGAACCTATTGCTAATGAGCCTGAGAAAGGGGCATTGGTTTCTTGGGCCTTTTGTGCCCACGAAGAGAGCAATTTCAGCAGAGTGGTGAGTGCAGAAGCAGGGAGGTAATGAGTAGCAAGGAAATCAATAGCACCAGCTCAAGCTACACATTTTACACTTTGCCAGTGAAAAGGAAAGATGAGAGAAAGTTGCTAGGAAGGGCAGCAAAAGTAGCTAAGAGGTTTTTGGAATTTTTTTAAGATTAAAAAATTGTTTCTACGTTTGAAAACGAAACAAAGGGAGAATTAATATGTGAGAGACTGATTACCTGGCACCTCACCAGATTGTATTCTCTAAGGGACAATGTCTGTCTTACTCACACAGCTGGATCTAGCTATAAGACACGGGATATATAGACCAATGGAACAGAACAGAGGCCTCAGAAATAATACCACACATCTACAACCATTTTATCTTTGACTAACCTGACAAAATAAGCAATGGGGAAAGGATTCCCTATTTAATAAATGGTGTTGGGAAAACTGGCTAGCCATATGCAGAAAACTGAAACTGGACCCCTTTCTTACACCTGATACAAAAATTAACTCAAGATGGATTAAAGACTTAAATGTAAGACATAAAACCATAAAAACCCTAGAAGAAAACCTAGGCAATACCATTCAGGACATAGGCATGGGCAAGGACTTCATGACTAAAACACAAAAAGCAATGGCAACAGAAGCCAAAATTGACAAATGGGACCTAATTAAACTAAAGAGCTTCTGCACAGCAAAAGCAACTATCATCAGAGTGAACAGGCAACCTACAGAATGGGAGAAAATTTTTGCAATCTATCCATCTGACACTGCAATCTATCCATCTGACAAAGGGCTAATATCCAGAATCTACAAAGAACTTAAACAAATTTACAAGAAAAAACAAACAAACCCATCAAAAAGTAGGTGAAGGATATGAACAAACACTTCTCAAAAGAAGACATTTATGCAGCCAACACACATATGAAAAAAATGCTTATCATCACTGGTCATTAGAGAAATGCAAGCCAAAACCACAATGAGATACCATCTCACACCAGTTAGAATGGCAATCATTAAAAAGTCAGGAAAGAATAGATGCTGGAGAAGATGTGGAGAAATAGGAACGCTTTTGCACTGTTGGTGGGAGTGTAAATTAGTTCAACCATTGTGGAAGACAGTGTGGTGATTCCTCAAGGATCTAGAATGAGAAATACCATTTGACCCAGCAATCCCATTGCTAGGTATATACCCAAAGGATTATAAACCATTCTACTTTAAAGACACATGCACATGTATGTTTATCGCAGCACTGTTCACAGTAGCAATGACTTGGAACCAACCCAAATGTCCATCAATAATAGACTGGATAAAGAAAATGTGGCACATATACACATGGAATACTATGCAGCCATAAAAAAGGATGAGTTCATGTCATTTGCAGGGACATGGATGAAGCAAACTAACACAGGAACAGAAAACCGAACACTGCATGTTCTCACTCACGATTGGGAATTGAACAATGAGCACACATGGACACAGGAAGGGGAACATCACACACCAGGGCCTGTGAGGGGGTGGGGGCTAGGGGAGGGATAGCATTAGGAGAAATACCTAATGTAGATGGGTGCAGCAAACCACCATGGCACGTATATACCTATATAACTAACCTGCACGTTCTGCACATGTATCTCAGAACTTAAAGTATAATAAAAAAGATATAAACATTAAAAAAATAAACACAGGCTCTACCATATCTAGACATAGTACCTACCTATATGTGGCACAAAATAGGTGCTCAATAAATATCTATTAAATGACTAGAGGGATGGACAGATGGAGAGGGAGGTATTACCCTCTCAACATTAATGCCAAGTTACTCTGATAACAGGAAAATACAACATCCATAGTTCAGGTGAGAGTTTAGGGAGAGGTTGGGGTTCCACAGGTCACATTGGTGGATCATACGCTGGATCCCAACCTTTCTTTGCAACATGGTGTGAGGTTCTCTGCTCCCACACTTCTCCCATGCTTCTCTGCATTAGCAGGTGGAAGGAAAGGGCTGGAACATTATTAAAGAAGAATTATTTGGGAGAAGAGCTATAACAACAACAGTAGGTGAAAGCACATGACTGGAAAATAAAAACTTACATGTGCTCTACATAGAAGCTGTTCATTTTCAAACATAAATCAATTCACCTTGTGGGCCTCATATGTGCCAGCCGTGTGCTGAGCCCTGGGATGCAGAGATGATGCCGTCGCTCTCTGCCCTGGAGAAGCTCAGCAGTCAGCGGGGCACGAGACCCTAAACCACTGTGATGCCACGGGCCAAAGGCCATCTACCAGTGCAGGACACAGTGGGAGTGCTCTGGGAACACAGACGACGGCATCAGTAATTCCACAGTGATCTGTTCCAGGAAAGATACAAAGAAGAGGTAATGTTTGAGCTTGGGAGATGGTGAGAAGTTTCCTAATTATATTTATTAATTTACTCAGCAACTATTTATTGAGCACCTAATCTGTGCCAAGCACTGTGCTGGGCTCTGGGGACAGATGAATGAGCAGAGACAGACACAGTCCCTGCCCTCACAGCATTTACAGCTTAGTTGGGAGAAGAGTCATTAATCACACAATAACATGTGCCAAGGCAAAAGTAAACCGGAGACAAGGGACGGAAAGGAGAGGCACGAGGCTTTATGAGAACTGACAAGGCTGTTTGTGTGAATCCATAGAAACTATAGAAACCAATGCATTTACAGAAAGTGTGCATGGCAAAGAGTGCTCCCTATATCTTAATGTTGTCCTCCCCTTCTTCTGAATAAAAGAACTGCTGGCCACCCAGGAAGACTACATTTCCCAGCCCCAACCCCCTGGGTTTGCCACGTGACTCAGGGCCAATGGTATGAGAAGTGAAGTGTGATTTCTGGGTGTGCCCTTAAAGGGAAGGGCTTGTCTTCCCCTTCCTCTTCTTAACTTCCCCTTCCTCTTTTTAACTTCCCCCTCCCCTCCCTTCTCCCATTGGAGGTAGGGTGAGCCATCTTGGAGCACGTGGACGAGAGCAATACTTTTGGGAAGGTGGAACAAGAAGAGAGAAGGAAACTCGGGGGGCAGTCAGTGACATCCTGGAGCCACTTTAGAGCCTTGGAATGCTCCCACCTTAGCAGTTGTGTGAAAGGGAATTCACTTCTGTCTGGTTTAGGGAATCCTCATTCTAATTCTTTGTTAGAGCAGCCAAGCCTATATATCTTAATTCATACAGTATACAAGATCACTGGTCATTGCTTAATAATGAAACAATAACAATTAGTCCTGCCTGTGTTAAGAAACTACTTGGACCCTGTCTAAAACAGAATTTGAGTATTCATATATTCAGGATTTGAGGATTTAATTGTGGGCAGAAATGAAATAATCTTGAAATATGGAGAGAATGCTGGCTTCCGGAGGGTTTCATGACCTTTTAAAAACCCAATATCTACTAGATTAAGTTGTGTAAAACCTCAAATACTCCAAGGATGGAAAGTCTGAACATGACTTATCATCATGGGCATGGAAGAGTGTGGCTGAAGACACAGATAGTAACTCCATTCCCCATGCTTCCCTGAGATGCACTCTTAAAGTGGAAGAGCCTCCAAAAGAAATACAGTCCATCTCTTGCCTCAAGACAGGATGAAATCAAGATCAGCAATAAGAGAAGGCTTTACGTCCCATTTTCAAGATCTTTAGGAAAGGAGTTTCTATTAATAACACATGCCTTATGGGGAAATGACTTCATGTTACTATACAGTTTATCAAAGCACTTCCACACCCATTAGCTCTCCTATTTCATTCTCCTAATAACATGGATGAGAGACAGACCCATTATCATTTGCCTATCATACTCCAAGAATCTGAATGACTTCCATAGGCCAAGAGGTCTTAGGGAGCAGAGCCGGGCCAGGACCCCAGGGATCTCATCCCCAGGTCCACCTTCCTTTTTGCTTACCTGCTTTTCCTCTCAATAACCTCAAATCAGTCCCTGATCTTCTGTTCTCTTAAGGGCCTGAGCTAGGCAGGTGAGTGGACCATAAAGGTGAACAGGACAGAGTTCTTCGTCTGCAGGAGCTCTTGGGGTTGGCTAGGGAAACAGGACAGGTACGTCCACATGGCCACTGTATGAAGCTCTGTAGGGTGAGCATCATGTAATGGGCCCTGGCAACAATGCTCCGAGCTCCAAGCCCTTCAGACCAGGACAGTTAGGAAGGACAAAAAATGAAGGAGCTGTGACTGCTGGAAGCCCCACCCTCCCACAGGTGCTGACCCTGAAGCTGCAGGCATTGATGTACACACACACACACACACACACACACACACACACAGCAGTGGGTGAGACTAAACACATCAGGCCTGCCAGCCTGTTCTTGGAAGTCAGCACTCAAGTTCAGGCTCCAAGTCCTCTGGCCTCTGCTCTCTACCACGTCATCACCATCTAGTGCTTTTTACGTGCTGTTTTTAGTCCTGTTCTCCACTCTTCCTTTCCTCCTGAGCCTCTCCTCTGTGCTTTCTGGACCGTCCCCCACGTGGCCACCCCAGCTCTCTTTAGGATGCCACTCACCTTTAGCCTTCTCCAGTGGTAGTGGTTTAGCTTCTCACAGGTCACGAACCTCAGGAGGAGGGGGCAAGGGGCAATACACCTTCCAACCCTCCAACTAGAGAAGCTGACACAGATCAAAGAAATGCTTAAGCTAGATTTCCTGGACCATCCCAAAGTCAGGGTGCAGACCTGTGACTTGCCTCTGTCATCAGAGGCCCTCCCAGGAGACCTGGAGGTGGAGGGGAGGTGGGAGCCTGAGAGAGACACAGTCATCTGGTAGGCACTATGAGGGAAGAGTCTGATGCAGCTGTGGAAGCTTCTGGAGTTCCGTCTTGGAACAGGGGCGGAGCAGCATGGGGCAGGGGCATTTCTTTTGGCTGAAGAAGAGCCATCACTCCCAGGGCTGTAACATCTGAACCCGCTTGTGTGGTGTTCCCAGACAAGCCAGAATGAATTCCACTCTGTAACTGAGACTCTGACCCACTCACTTGTTCATTCACTGTGCTGACATTTGCTGAGTACCTACTTTGTGCCAGGCACTTTCCCAGGGGCTGGGAATACAGCAGTGAACACGACAGATGTAATCCCTGTCCTCAGGGAGCTCACATTTGGGGGTGAGAGTGAATAGACAAGACAAAAGGAATCAGCAAATTATATAGTGGTAATCAGTTCAGCTCCTGTTTCTTATCTCTCTTTCAAGGTGCTCTTTGTAGCATGCTGAAACTAAGGTTCCAGGCCAGACCTTGTATTATGTCAAGCCTTCCATCTTGACAGTCCACAAGCTGATGTGTGTGACAGTCCACAAGCTAATGTGTGTGAGAAACAGAACCTGATTGTGCTAACAAGTTCTAGTTGAAGCCCCCAGGCCACCAGGATGCCCAATCCTTCCCCTTTCCCAGGGTCACCTCTAAGTTTGGGAGGGGGGCTCTTACCAAGACACCAGAGTCAGGGGAAGGGGCATCCTTCTGGAACTCGACGTCTGCCATCTGTCTGCACTGACACCCACAGAGAGGTCCACTGTCCTTGGTTCTTGGTTGTGTGAGGGCTCCCTATGTGCCTGTCTGCATGGGCCCCCTTGGTTCAGTGGCTCTCTCTACTGTATCAGGGCCTTGGGGACACCAAGGCCTCTGGAAGAGCTGTCTGGAGCCCTCGCTGTTCAGCCACACTATGAAGTCGTTGCTGCCCACTGGGTTCTGGCTGCCTCCCTGTGACCCTTCTCAGCAAGGGAGACAGCCATTCCTTCTCTCCTTAGATCCCACAAGCCTCCCTACAATTAGTCCAGCCAAACAGGATGCAGGTCTTCTTCCTCAAAGCCTAGGAAAATCTATGCTCTCCTTCCTTGTTCTTCAGAAACTGCCTCCTCTCCTCAGCTGGGGAAGGGGATATGGCAGGAGGATGCACTGCTCTAATTTAGGTTGTCGCCCAAATGTTTCATGCATGCCAGTAACGCGTGGCTTTCCTGAAAGGGCCTGGACTTCTGGAATGGAACGTGTTAAGAGGAGACCATTTCCTCCATTCCCTCCTTGTTTTCCACCGGCCTGACTCTCCCCCTGAGGCAATGAGCCTGGAATAGTTTTACTTTTTGGAACGGATTAGAGGAACAAAGTCTCCTAAAGGAAATACATGATGAAGGAGGATGGAAAGAAGCAGCTGATACTTTTTAAAAAAATCACTCCACAGACAACATCATGCAGCAGCAGAACTGGTGCAAGCTAGTAAGAGGGCAGACATGGAAAAAAAAGAGAAGAAAGCTGGCACCACTGGGGTGTGGCTGCTCTTCGTGCTGCGGCAGGCTGTTTTGGGGATTGAATGAAGTTGCTTGTTTTTCATTTAAGAGCCAGGGTTTATCTAATGAGGAAACTGCTTAAGCCAAGTTACAGACTTGGCTCAAGACAAGAACCAGGCTGTGCTGTGTGAGAAGTACTATTTCAGACGTGTATTCCTCCTTCAAAAGGTACGAATGATATGGAGTGGGAGTGGGTGTGTGGAAAAAAAAATGGTTTCTGTGTCAATAAAAAGCTGCCCAGAGTCTAGTCACAATAAAAGGGAGCCAGACAGGGGTAGATCAGCTTCAAAGAATAAAGGAATAAATTATATAAAAATAACAAAATCTGCACACAGGAATACAGAGAAACAACTCAACACTGTAAGAAAGCAAAGACTGAAAATAAAGCTTTGAATAGAAAGAGGAGGGAAAATACCTCAAGAAGAGAGAGACAGAGAGCGAGAGAGAGCGAGAGCAAGAGAGAGAGACCCAGTAGGAAGGAGCAGTAAATAGAAAAAGAATAGTAAGTTACTGCTGAGTAAAAAAGTACATATTCATATATGATATATTCCAGATGCATATTCCTTAAATCAAGTTATTGATAAATCAGTAGATTTGATAAATATTAATACTTCATTAATCATTTGGCACATGGATGTTTTGAGAATCAACTATAGTCACTCAGTGATATGGCCCAGCATCTAAATTAGCCTCCAGACCCCAAGCCCTGACTCTTCATAGCATATTCCACTTCTTCCTGAAACAAATGAAAAAGGTAAAATAAAGTAGCCCAATAGGAAATTGAACAGCGCCTTCAAAGCAAGCTGAGAAAGATTCATTAGGTTCACACAAACATCTCATAAACAAAACCAGAAGCAGGAAAGAAAATAGTCGCAGAAGGATCTAACTAGGACTAACTGGATCAAGGGATGTTTGTGGGGAAAGGATACAGGAATTTCCCCAAATAACTGTAAGTATGTATGTGTATGCTCGACAGGCTGAGGTGGGAGGATGGCTTCACCCCAGGAGTTTGAGACAATCCTGGGCAACATAGCGAGATCCTATCTCTCTCTAAAAAAAATTAAAATTTAGCCAGGCATGGTGGCACACACCTGTAATCCCAGCTATTTGGGAGACTGAAGTGGGAGGTTCACTTAAGCCCAGGAGTTCGAGGCTGAAGTGAGCTATGATTGCACCACTGCACTCAAGCCTAGATGACAAAGTGAGACCCTGTCTCTAAAAAAGGAAAAAAAAAAAAAAAGTAAGTGTAAATACGAATGCATGCAAGCATTCTTCATTGACATGAATACCTTCTAAAATGTTTAAAGGGACTTTACTTACCATATAAAATCTGTTTTGTTTTCAATGTGGTATATAAAGGCACACATATACACAGAAAAATATTATTCAGCCTTAAGAAAAGAAAGGACATTATACTCAGTTAAATAAGCCAGTTACAAAAGGAGAAATTCTGGCCAGGAGCGGTGGGTTACTCCTGTAATCCCAGCACTTTGGGAAGCTGAGGCGAGTGGATCACCTGAGGTCAGGAGTTTCAGACCAGCCTGAGCAACATGGTGAAACCTCGTCTCTGCTAAAAATACAAAAATTAGCTGGGCGTGGTGGAGCACGACTGTAATCCCAGCTACTTGGGAGGCTGAGGTAGGTGAATCACTTGAACGGGGGAGGCAGAGGTTGTAGTGAGCTGAGATCGCACCACTGAACACCAGCCTGGGCGACAGAGCAAGACTCCGTCCCCATCCCCCTCCCCCAAAAAAGGACTAATTCTGTATGATTTTGCTCATATAAGGCACCTAGAATAGGCAAATTCGTAGAGGCAAAAAGTAGAATAGTGGTTACCAGGTGCTAAAGGGGAGGGAGAAATAAGTTATTGTTTAAGGAGTACCAAGTTTCTTTTGAGAGGATGAAAAAATTCTGGAAATGGATACTGGATATGGTTGTACAACATTATTAACATAATGCCACTGACTATGCTTAAAAATGATTAAAATGATAAATGTTATGTTATGTATATTTTACCACAATAAAAAAAAAGGAAGAGGTGGGCAGAAGAGTTAGTGTCAAAGTGATGCTGAGAGGTGAAGCCAGCTGCACTTCTGGGTTGGGTGGGGACTTGGAGAACTTTTCTGTCTTACAAGAGGATTGTAAAATGCACCAATCAGCACTCTGCAGCTAGGATTGTAAAACGCACCAATCAGCGCTCTGTGGCTAGCTAGAGGTTTCTAAAATGGGCCAATCAGCACTCTGTAAAAACACACCAATCAGCTCTCTGTGGCTAGCTAGAGGTTTGTAAAATGGACCAATCAGCACTCTGTAAAATGGACCAATCAGCACACTGTAAAATGGACCAATCAGCACTTGGTAAAATGGACCAATCAGCAGGACATGGGCAGGGACAAATAAGGGAATAAAAGCTGGCCACCCAGTCAACACAGGGAACCCAGTCAGGTCCATTTCTAGGTTGTGGAAGCATTGTTCTTTTGCTCTTCACAATAAATTTTGCTGCTCCTCACTGTTTGGGTCCATGTGACCTTTAAAGCTTTCTTTAACATTTAAGGTCCGTGGCTTCATTCTTGAAGTTAGCGAGATGGAGACCACAAGCCCACTGAAAGGAACCAACTGCAGACACAATGCATGTGAGAAAGACTCAGCCCTATTTTCTGGCTTTGAAGCTGGAGGAAGGAGCCAGGAGCAAAAGAATGAAGACAGTTTCCAGAAGCTGCAAAAGGGCAGGGACAGATTCACTCCAGGAAGCCCCAGAAACAAACACAGTCCTGCTGACACCTTGATTTCAATCCAGTGAGACATATTTTGGACTTCTGACCTACAGAGCTAAAATAATAGTAAGATAATAAAGTTATGTTGCCACCACTGAAAACAGTTTTATTTTGCTTTGGTTTAAGCTAACTGAGCTAATACAGCTGCCGTATTTTATGACACTTGCCTAAGGAAGACTTCCCATCCCTGCACTGCTCCCGGCTAACCAGTCCTTTCTCGGGACTCCTGGAAACCTCCCACTCTCAGAGAGGTGTAGGGTATAAAAATCACAAGCTGATGGCTCAGGATGTAGCAAATAAAAATACAAGACCAAAACGAAACCCAACCGGAACACCGAGTTAAACGTGAATTGACCATGCGATATTTGGGACATACTTAACACTAAAAATTACTGGTTGTGTATCTGAAATTTACCTTTAACTGGGCTCATGTATTTTACCGGGCAACCCTACCCCCCGGTCACAGTGAGACTACACACGGGGTCTTTTGGTCATTTTGCAAGTGTAAAAGACTAACGGGAACACCGGCATTTTTCAAAGCTCGATTTCCAAACCTCCTTTAAACACTTGTCCCCATCCCCTCCCCGCAGGCCTTCAGTCGCTCTGGCACGCGGGCCAGCGCGGGAACACTCTGCGCAGGCGCACAGCGTTCCGCGGGGGACGCTCAGTAGGGTACGGGACGCGCGCGGGGAGACCCTGTGCAGCGACACCGGGGCTGTAGTCGCCGTCTGGAACCAGCGCGGGAATAGGTGCGCAGGCGCACAGTGGCTGGAGGGCAGCGGCGGCGTGGTCTCGGGCCACTTCCAAGCAGAGGGCAGCACCTGTCCCCTCGGAGGCGCTGCCAGCGCCCTCCCTCCTCCTCCGCAGGGCGCGGGACCTCTATTTATATCGCCCAGCCAGCACAGGCCCATATTGGGCAGTGGCCTCAGTCAGGCCCGCTGGCCGCCCTGCCACACGGTAGCGTCCAAGCCAGGTCGTGGCCCAGCGAGTGGGGACGCGCCCCGAACCAGGCAGCACCTTCGTAAGTAGGGGTAGCGCCCCGGGGGAACGCGGCCCCCAGTCACAAGCCCTGCCTCAACTCCGGGCCAGGTTGAACCTGGGCGCCGACCCGGGGCCACCGGCACTTGCAGCCTCGGCTCTAAGTGACTTCCTTCGAGTCGCAGTGGGCCGGCGCCTGGCGTCAGGTGGGGCTCCCAGGAGCTGCTCCTCCAGGCCATCTCTGCCGTCTCCGACCTTCACCGTCGGGTTGTTCAGGCTCGTAGTCTGCATAGTATTATCATCCTCCGAATTACCTGACCAATGTATTATTGTGCCTTCCGTCGCTAGACTGTAAGCACAACAAAGGTAAGGGGCACTTCCCTGTTCCTGGTTGTCTTCCCGGAACCTAGGATAGTGCCTGGCACTTAGAAGGGTTCGTTTAAGTTTAATAAACCCTGAATGTATCCCTGAGCAACTCTCTTAACTTTAAAGCCAGGAGAATAATTGCCCTACATTTTCCCCCAAATGATTCTTAAGAGGAACTAATGAGCTATAATGCGGATTAAAGCACTTTGAAAAGTATAAAGCACTGTGAGAATGCAAAACAGTGTGAACTCGGCAAAGAAAAGAAAAGAAAACTGGTCTTATTTGTCTTTATCATCCATGTGCCTGGCTGTTACTGGATGCCCGGTGTGTGGGATGGATTATTATGAAATGAATCAGGTCTTTTTCCATGCTAGTGAGAAGCACAGAGTACATTTAGGGTGGTGCGTGTGTTCTCAGCCATTTCCTACCAGCCTCTGCAAGCGTAGGATTTTAGCAAGATGGTGTTGCTGAAACAAAATAGGGTGTGGAGACGTAATCGTATAAACTGGGGGTCACAAACTTAAATGGCTGTAGGATAATGTAAATGGACAGGAAAGAGAAAAGCAACAGCGTAAGAATTACAAATAATGACTGTCCCTCAGGTCTCAAAGAGGATAATGGGGCCCAGCAGATGTGCCAGCTGAGAGGTGGCAGCTGGGTACTCAGGTCCTGCACATTGTTGCCGCTTGGGAATTAAGGACTCAGTGTTGCCATACCTTTCATTTTTTTCAGTAGATGCTGGAATATTTCAGCTTAGCATGTTGACAGCTAATTTACCAAAAACAAAACAAAAAGCAAAAAAAAAAAAAAAAACTGAGCAGCCAATTTGTAATCTCAGGCGTAAGTGAAGCCAATACATGGCTTCAGTAGTTCCTTAAGAATGGGGCCAAATCCCAGACAGCAAATGACTGGGAATTAATTTTGAGGGTGCAAGTGAAAACTGGGTGTCATAGTGCATCACGCTATAAGCAAGGGAGTCACTTCACGATTCTGAATGATTTGACTGGAACAAGAGGATAGCAACTTGAAGCATTAAGCGTTGGCGAGTGGGAAAAAACACAGAACTGTTTGTCTGCTGCTCTCACACAATGAACACAGAAAATGTCTGTAACCTCTGCTAACCAAGAGGTATGTGGAGACTTCTCCCCATCAGCAACCAATCACTTAGTTCTGCAGCAGACAGCAGCTTGGGTGTCCTCTAACTCAGTGCAATTCTGACACCATCTACCTGGAGACAGCGTCAGATCCCACAGGCTGAGAGCTCAGTCCCACAGGGCTACCACTATCTTCAGACACTAGTCCCAGCATCCAGAGCTTCTGACTGACCCATCTCAAGTTGGGGTTCCCTCTTTGGGTTTAATTTGCTAGGGCAGCTCACAGAATTCAGAAGAACGCTTAAGTTTTCCGGTTTACTATAAAGGATATTAACAAGGATACAGGTGAAGCGATATATAGGATGAGATATGGGGGAAGGGGTACAGCCAGGTGCACCACACTTCGGGAACCCTCCACATGTTCAGCTATCCTGGAAGCTCTCCAAACCTTGTCCTTTTGGGGTTTTTAGGAAGGCTTCATTACATAGGCATGCTTGATTGGTGATCAACTTAACTTTCTGCTCCTCTCCCTGGAGGTCAGGGGATGGAGCTGAAAGTCCCAATGCTCTAATCCTGCCTTATTCTTTCCGGGGACCAGCTCCTATCCTGAAGCTCTAGAGGCTGCCAGCCCTCAGTCAACTCATTAGTGTACAGAAAGGTATTTATCACTTTGGAGATTCCAAGGATTTTAGGAGTTGTATGTCAGGAAAAGGGCAAACACCAAATAAATATTTTATAGTATCACAATAAATTTTATATGTAGAAAAAATCTTGAATATAATCTTTTATTATCATGTACAAAACCTAGAGAAAAGTTATCATTAACTTGTAATTTAGGACTAAACAAAGCATTAATTTAATTGAACAAACCGTATTGAGCAACTCCTGTGTGCTAAGTGTCATCACAGACAAGAATACAGAAATGGCCAGGTATGGTGGCTCAAGCATATAATCCTAGCACTTTGGGAGGCCAGGTCAGGAGGATTGCTTGAGGCCAGGAGTTTGAGACGCACCTGGGCAACACAGTAAGACCCTGTCTCTACAAAAAATAAATAAATAAATTAGGCATAGTGGTGCATGTAGTGGTGCAGCTACAGGGGAGGCTGAGGTCCCAGCCTGGGCAACAGGGCAAGACCCTGTCTCTAAAATAAATAAGTAAACATTTTCAAGAATACAGAAGTGACGAAGACAAGTCCCTTACCCGCAGTGTGCTCATCATTGACAGGAGAGGCAAGCATCTGCAAAAGTGAATGGCAATAGCAGTGCAGCAACCACAGTGTACACAACACAGGCAAGAAAGCAAAGGGATGCGTCAGTGAGGAAGTGATATCTGAGCTGAATTTTGAAGACCAGGTTATATTTTTTCAGGTAGATGGGGGAGATATTTCTGACACAGATTTACACGTGTAAAGACAGAACAGCATGTTAGCCAGGCGCGGTGGCTCACGCCTGTAATCCCAGCACTTTGGGAGGCCGAGGCGGGCAGATCACGAGGTCAGCAGATTGAGACCATCCTGGCTAACACGGTGAAACCCCGTCTCTACTACAAATACAAAAAATTAGCTGGGGGTGGTGGCGGGCGCCTGTAGTCCCAGCTACTCAGGAGGCTGAGGCAGGAGAATGCCGTGAACCCAGGAGGCTGAGCTTGCAGTGAGCCGAGGTCGCGCCACTGCACTCAAGCCTGGGCGACAGAGCGAGACTCCGTCTCAAAAAAAAAAAAAAGAAAAAGAAAAGAGAACAGCGTGTTAAAGGCCCATATGCGTTAGAACTGTAGTAGTTTGGTACTACTCAAAGATTGAAAAATATAAGGAAGGAAAGTCAGGAGACGAGGCAGGAAAGTTTGGGAGGCGCCAGAATGCCTGAATGAGGGGTAGTGTTGGTGAAAACAGGCCCGGGATATTTTTGTAATGTGGGGTAATAACTTTATACACGGTAGTGACCAATGTACAAAAGGATCCCACCCTTAAAAATGGTTTTTTTTAAACAGTGAAACTGGGACATCATTTTCTGACATCATAATGTTGATGTTCCTTGGATTGCCAAGGAACAAAGTGTAAGACCCTGCTCCTGTCCTATCCACAGACTGGAATTTAGCCCTGTCCAAGTCATTTCTCTTGTCTTCAGTCTTTCCTCGATAAAAATCAGTGGGTTTGATGTTGATCAACTCTATCATGATTATAAGCTACTCACTATACTGAATTTTTTTTTTTTCCGAGACACGGTCTCGGAAATAGCAAAAATTTGGAAATAACTTAAACAGCCTGTCACCCAGGCAGGAGTGCAGTGGCACGATCTTGGCTCACTGCAACCTCTGCCTCCCAGGTTCAAGTGATTCTCCTGCCTCAGCCTCCTGAGTAGCTGGGATTACAGGCGCAAGCCCCATGCCCAGCTAATTTTTGTGTTTTTAGTAGAGACGGGGTTTCACCATGTTGGTCAGGCTGGTCTCGAACTCTTGACCTTGTGATCCACCCACCTCGGCCTCCCAAAGTTCACACTGAACATTTTTATGGGAGAAAATACATGCCAGTTTAGGAATGCAGTAACTTCTTTTCCCACTGAAGCAGGATTAGGAATTGTATTTGCTCTTCCCTCTCATACAGGCGGATGCCAGCGATATTGAGGTGGAGGGAGGGCTATAACCACAGTTTTCAAAGCAGTCTTCATTCAGACTAGATAAGGAGGTCATAATTTTTTGTTTTTTCCAATCACTCATAAATTGGGCTACCTACACCCTGACACATTAAAAAGAAAATTCATGATGTATCTATTATCTCTCTCTCTAATATATATATATATGTATATGTAAATCTGATAATTCACACATGGTTTACATGGTTTACAACATTGAGGTTTTTCAAAAGCTGTGACCCTAATGCAGTTTTTTAAAATTTTAAACTTATACAATATTTAAGATATACAAAGAGGCATTAAGAATAATAAAGCATGTCTTGGATACCCACCAAACAGCTGGAGAAATTAAACATTTATACAGTTGAAACTCCTTGTCATCCTTCCCCACTTGCATCCCTCTTTTTCTGCAACTCCTGAAGGGAAACACTGTCTTGAAATTGGGGTTTATAATTACCCTTCATGTCTTTATATTCCACTACAGTTGTACAGATCCTTAAAGAATTTACAATTCCAAGCTTACAGAAAAGTTCCAAGAATGGTACAAAAAACTCCTATATGCCCTATGCCAGATTCACCAAATGCTCATACTTACTTTGTTGAAATCGATCATCAGTATTTACTCTATTAGAACATATAATATTGCTTTGCATATTAGAAATATATCAGTGGTATGTGGCATGTATATTCTACAGTCTTTTTCACACATTATTATGTTTGTGAGATACAGCCATGTTGACGCATGTAGATCTAGTTCATTCTTTTTTTTTTTTTTTGCTGTACTATATTCTCTAGTGAATATACTACAATCTGATCTCCTATTAAGGGATGTTTAAGTTATTTCCAAATTTTTGCTATTTCAAACAGTGCTGCTGTGAATTTAAACTAGTGAAACTTCAGCAGAACATGGAGAGTTTCCTAGAAAAGAAGGCACGGTCATATATCAACCATTATTTCGAGAAAGTAGCAACTTAAGCAGTAAAAATAATATAGTAAAGATAATGTAAAGATTATAAAATTAAACACTGTCAAACATTCGTGGCTTAAAGAAATTGACTTTTTTTGCACCACATTAATATTTACAGTGGTCCATTTCTCAAAATGAAATATAGTGGACAGGAGTATAACTGCTTTTTGGACTTAGAAAGTAATTAGAGTTTATTCTTGTGATTTATATGCATCTTTGCTACTCCATTTTTCTCTATTACTATGAGTACTATTATTATGAATGCACCAGTTCAGTCTTCTATAAATTGAAGCAGTGAGTAACTTCCCATTTATATCACCGAGAACATTTATACAGTTTTGTTTTGCTGATGAAAGGAGAATGTACTTTGCCCTCATTACAAGGGAAAGTTACTATCAGCTCTCTTCACTTAGGAGCTGTGTCTATACCCACAGTGGTTTGTATATGTACCCAAATATTTTTATTATTTGAAAAATATATAGATATATCCTGCTTCACCTTTACCAAGCCAGTTTTACCAAGAAAATTGCATATTGTACATGCATGGCCTTATTTAATTCTCCTGAATATTCTTATGGAATTCTCAAAATGAACTTCAGGTGAGAAAACTAGAACATAAAGAGGCTAAGGAACGTGTTAATATTGCTAGATAATAGAGTAAGGATTCAAAACCAGGTCTCGGTCACCCAAGCCAAAATCTGTGTTCCTAACCTTTGAGCTTACTATGATATATCACTGGAAACTAATAATAATGTCCATTTATTGATCATTTGGATGCCAAAGACTAACTTAGCTACTTTACTTGTGTACATTATTCCCATTTTACAGATGAAGAAGCCAAGGTTTAGGCTAAACTGGGATCCAAACCAGGGAAAGCCCCCATGTACAATGCGAGTGTCTTCTATGTACCTTATATGTACAAGAAACAAAGCTGAGAATGTTTTTTTGAGGTGTGGTGGCTAATATAACTGCCCAGGTATTTTTCTGGATTTCCATCAGTAAATTCATTTGGTCTATAAACCCCTAACAATTAGAGTAGCTTTCAGGAGTTGTATGAAATGCAGTTGGAAGGAAGGGATACAACAAATACATATAGGCCAGTTATTTCCGTTTTCAAATAAATTGTTTTTTGTGGTTGTTGTCAAAGCCAATGTTTTTGAGACAGACAAACTGCATCCAAGCAAAATATTTATTCAAGAAGTTGATTTATGTTTGGGAATCTGGGGATATCCAGATGCTCTTTTTAAAACAGGACCATTTCACTTCTCAAAACTCTTCAGCTGGGTTTAAGCAGAGAAGTGGAGAATAGTCACCCCAAAAGGATATTATCTTACTCATAATCTAGAAATGTATTAACTTTTCCCATCAATGTTATTCTCACTGCTTGCAACTTACAGCCAAGTTAGAACTGGAAAAGGTGGTAGAGACTTGAGATCCTCTTCTAACATTAAGGTTTCTGACTCTAGGAATGTCCTTCTTTAAAACAAACGCTAATTTAAATTAACTTCCTTGAAACATCCCATTTCCATTTATCCAGGGAAGGTGAAGATGAGACAGCTAACTTTAAAAAATTTAGACTAATGCTTTTTAAGGTGAAGAGAGATTCAGTCTCTGCCACTATGAATTGGGGAAAAAATAAAAGCTGAGCAAGGAGGGAGGACAGAGAAATCATATAGTTTTAGGCATTTTCTAAGTTTAGGGTAATTTAGTTGTATATTTTAAATATTGTGACTTTTCAGATCAGCTGACATTTGGTAGTGCCTTCCAAAGCCCAGTAGATATAATCTTTGTGTTATCTACTGCTTTGAATTATTTGTCCCACATCAAAGTTTGAGCAGAATTTTAGTGGACCTTTTTTCAGTTTTTCCTCTTCCAGGGTATATTGTACAAGGCCCCAGTCATGAATTTATGGACTGACTATTATAACAGTTCGGTGTATTTTTTGGAGGGGATGCATATAACCTTTGGGGTGATTTTGCATCTCCTTGGAGAGAATATTAACTGATGCCCCTATACCCTCTGCCTGCAGGTCAGCTGTATTTGGTAACTGGAAATGGAATTGCAAAATGTGCCCAGCTTATCACTTCTCTTTCTATACATGTTGGGAGGGAAATCTTTGCAGTCCTAGAAAAATCTCTGCCACTGATTAGGAGAATTTGTCACAGCAGTTAATTTATTACTGTTTACGTAATCAAAATTAATATTTTTAGATACAAAAGTAGTTGTCTTAAACTGCTCTGCTTGGAGTGAATAATATCTGTTTATAAATACTTTTTTTAGAACTAATGCTGCATATCTAAATTATAGAGAATTTTTTCTTAGAAGGAAACTGCCTTTTTTCTTTCCCTTAGAAATGTTTCCTGACATCTTTGTAGCTTCATGAGTAATCAGACATGCAAATAGCCCCTCAGGAATCAAGCTACACTTAAAGAAGACTTAGTTGGAAACTTTGGAGAGTAGATCATGGAGTGCAAGATTGAGGGAAAAGAAAAATACCAACATAGCTTGAATTTACTGAATAAAATTCAGAACATGAAAGAATTAGCAGAAATGATTGATGTGGTACTCACAGCAGAAGGAGAGAAATTTCCTTGCCACAGACTGGTCCTGGCTGCATTTAGCCCTTATTTCAAAGCTATGTTCACCTGTGGACTACTTGAATGTAATCAAAGGGAAGTCATACTTTATGACATCACAGCAGAAAGTGTGTCGGTGTTATTAAATTACATGTACAATGCAGCTTTGGAGATCAATAATGCCAATGTACAGACTGTAGCTATGGCTGCCTATTTTATGCAGATGGAAGAAGTCTTCAGTGTGTGTCAAAAATATATGATGGACCACATGGATGCCTCCAACTGTTTAGGTATCTATTATTTTGCAAAGCAGATTGGAGCTGAAGATTTATCTGATCGATCAAAGAAATATTTATATCAGCACTTTGCCGAGGTGAGCTTACATGAAGAAATACTAGAAATCGAAGTGCACCAATTTTTGACACTTATTAAATCAGATGATCTTAACATATCCAGAGAAGAGAGCATTCTGGACTTAGTTCTGAGATGGGTAAATCATAACAAAGAATTGCGTACAGTGCATCTTGTTGAGCTTTTGAAGCAAGTCAGATTGGAACTTGTAAATCCTTCTTTTTTAAGACAAGCCCTAAGAAGGAACACAATGCTTCTGTGTGATGCAGATTGTGTTGACATAATTCAAAATGCATTCAAAGCCATCAAGACACCCCAACAGCACTCTCTAAATCTGCGCTATGGTATGGAGACTACCAGTCTTCTGCTTTGCATTGGCAACAATTCTTCAGGAATCAGATCAAGACATAGGAGCTATGGGGATGCCAGTTTTTGTTATGATCCTGTATCACGGAAAACCTATTTCATCTCATCTCCCAAGTACGGAGAGGGTTTAGGAACTGTGTGTACTGGTGTTGTCATGGAAAATAATACTATAATTGTGGCTGGAGAAGCAAGTGCCTCTAAACTCTCTAGACAAAAGAACAAGAATGTTGAAATTTATAGGTTTGTATCTAGCAGCAAATTTGCTTAATTATTTTGTTTTGATACTAGCAGCAGTAGAAGAAAGAACTGCAAAAAGTCATCACATCTTAAATTATTTGTAGTCAAAATTACCCTATACATCTCCCATAAGGAATAGTATACAGAACATGCTTTTGTGTGTCTGTGTGTGTGTGTATACATTTATATATATATATAATCTATAACTCATAAATATAGCATATATAAAAATATATAAATATATAATGTATATTATATAAAATATAAATGTAGCATATATATAACTTTCATAATTAAATCTCCCACATTTTAAAATTTTTTCTCTTCCTTTGTTAACATATAGTTGAATTTGCATAAGTTAAATGTGTTTGTTATGATCCCATTTTAGTTTTCAATCTTAGCTTTATTTATCCATATATAGGGTTTAATATACTGCTTTGTTTTTAAAGATCTTAATATAACAAGAAGGAAAGTTTATTAAAACAGACTCCTTTGAATTTTTTTTTAGTTCGTAATTTAGAGCAATAAGTAATTTTTTCCTTAACCATAAATTACTAATAATCTGTCAGTTTTCATTCTATGTCCTTAATTTGTGGATTTTGCTTAAATCTCCAACACTGTAAAATGTTTGTAGTTGAAGAATGCTTTAATCCTAGAATTGTAGTAAGAGGAAAGAATGCCTGCTAAGAAGTAGCATATCATCTAGGTTTTGCTTATGAGAACAAATAGGTTTATTTACTGTTTATTCAGCCCGTATTAAATGAGTATTTAGCACTTAAATCTAAGTGAGAAAATTAGAAATATGCACATGGAATAAATACTACATAGTAAAACTTTCCCCCAATATTTTTCTCCTCTCAGTTCTCTTTTACCATGGTTTGTTCAGACATTTCAGTCAGAAAGTAATTCTTAGCAGTAAAGATGGGACTAAAGAGGGAATGAAGAGGTCTACTATTTGTCTGTCATCTCCTAGCATTACATTATCTGTCTCAAGCCATAGTCCTGTCCCTTTTCCACATTCATACTTTGAAGATGTGTCTAATCTCCCCTAGTAGGAGAAAGAATGCAGAGCCCTGGCTGGGTGACCTAGACCCGTGCCCATGGGTACCAAGCATGTCCCTGAGCCACAGGAGCAGCCTTCTTCAGAATTATCAGGGAGAGACTACAGAGCCAGGAGAGCAGATCCCCACAGGAAGAGGAAGCCTTGACTTCCTGATGTGGTTCTCAGGGGTCCATGCCACCAGTTTTACACTTGCTCTTGGTTGGGTGCCCTTCTTTCCACCTTAGAATCTCTTGACCTGGTACTTCAGGTTCTTTACATAGTTTTTTTTCTTCCTCCTCAAGATAGTCTACAATTCTGCCATCACATCTTATTTTTAGTAAACCTCCAACCCTGTCAAAGTGTCTTTCAGTTTTGGTCCTCAGACGTCTTTCCTTTTAACTTATTGAGAGCCCATTTCCCTTTCTAACAGCAAATGTCTAACTATATACCCCATGTTTTCCTTCCTGTTTATCTTGAACTCAACCAGGTTCCCATCACCAACCGTCTCACCCTCCACATTGGTCAGAGTTAGAGTAAAAGTTATTAGTTACTCCCATCATTTCTTCCAATAATGAAATTGTCAGAAGCATTGCTTTAGGCTTAAATGAGACTTCCAGCTGATGTTCTGTGTAGTTAAAATCTCCTAGCACTACTGAAGGTTACTGTAGTGCCAGTTTTGTGATATGCATAAGAAATTTATCATCCTGTGCTACATCCCTGTTATATTATTTGTGTATCTCATTCTTTTTATCTTTGTCCAGATGTTCTTCAGCTTGCCTCTACTCATAGATTTCCATGCAGATATATTTCTTCTTGACTTAAAAGAGGAAGTAGACTAGTACTCTGGAAGATTATTTATTTTTTAAAAAGATGTACCTTTCCATCTCCTTCACTTATCTCCATTTGTCTTTAAACTATCAATCTCTATTAACAATGAAGGCCTTTGTCACTATTGTTTTCTTTTTTATGTCATATCCACTTAATACTAAGTTTTAGAGTTTTATCTGGGTATTTTCTCTCCCTGTTTCAGTTCTAAATGTGAAAACAAAAATCAGATTAGGAAGTCACCCAGCAAACATCTACTTTCTAACCTTTATGGGATGTACTTCATTCCTAGCCTATTTTCTTTAACTATGTCTCAGAAAACCCAAACCCATTTTTTAAAGTTCATTTATATATTAATTCAGTTGGCTTTACTTTGGTAGCCCCCACATATATTACAGATACCTATTCCTCCTTTCTTTTCTAAAATTCATACAATTAAAAATAGTGACAAAAATATTGCCTGTGATTCTAGAGACTTTGGTTCTCTGCCTAGAATTACATAGAAGACAGCCATCATAAGGCGTGATAAATTTCTACATTCAGCTGTGACAAGCCAGACATACCCTCTTAGAAAGGAGCATGCCTTCTAACTGCCCTGTCAAGCCTCAAGTAAAGATGTCTCTCTGGGAAAGAACGTTAAGAGTTGGCCTAGACAACTGGAAAAAACTCCTACCATAGAATTAACTGTGAGGTGTTAAATGCAAAATAAGTCGTCTATACTTAAAAATTGTACTCTGTATAAAACACACATAAGTTCCTAATTTGTTTCCAAACAGAACAACTTTTTTCTTAATTTCCATGTTTTCCTGTTTTTTTGTGTGTGTGTGTTTAATTTTGAATTCCAGATATACTTTCTGGATTTTCTGGGACATTTAATTTCACATATTTTACCCCTCTGACCAACCCCATGAAGTACTTCTGTCCTTCTCAGACTGTGTATCTTCAATCATGATTGGAGATAAAGACTTATCATAATCATGATGCAAGACAAAGAATAGCCACAAACTCATCTACCCAGTGACCATACAATGCCCCATCACACACATAATCAGTTAATGTGTTGGACTCTAGAAGGCATTGAGAGACCATATATACTAATGTCCCTAGTTCTTAAGACTCTTAGAGTGATACTCTGGAAGAAATTACTGAAATTGCCACATCTAGTAGATTAAAATAGATGTTAAGTGCCCAGCAGACATCTACAGGTAGGTTTTTATACAGTGCTCTTGACCCAGTTGTAAGCCAGTTGGAACTACAACAGTTCTTAAAATTCTACATATTCTAAATCATCCTGAGAGAAATTTGTGAATTGAGATGTTTTTAGATTCTCTGCCCTAAAACTGTGATTTCTTTAATGTTCGTATGAAAGTGATATTTCTTGTCCACAGAATAAGGCATTCTTGTATTTTTGCTTACTTTTATGGTAAAATTAAAAATGATTTGCTTAAAAACTTTCTATCCATTCTTGATTTTCTTTCCCAGAATTAGAAAATGAAGGCTACTCCTGGAAAATCTATACTTTTTCTCTATATTTTCCCCAAAACTCTTCAGGTATATGTGGCTAATTATTTTAAAGCACATTATATTTTGTTCATTATTCCTTAAAAAAAAAGCAAACCTGTGTCATTTTCTTGTATTAATGTTTTTTGTCCTCCAATTGGAAGAACCATATCTCATTATTTTTGGTCAGAAAATAAATAAGTGTATTTCTTGGGTAAATTGCTTTCATGTTACCTCTAATCCTGGATACTCTCTCTCTCTTTTGCAGGTATCATGATAGAGGAAACCAGTTTTGGGAAAAGTTATGCACAGCTGAATTTCGAGAACTCTATGCTCTGGGCAGTATTCATAATGACCTTTATGTTATAGGAGGACAGATGAAAATTAAAAACCAGTATCTTATTACAAACTGTGTTGATAAGTACTCTGTAGAACGGGACAATTGGAAAAGGGTGTCTCCCCTTCCACTGCAATTGGCATGTCATGCTGTAGTGACAGTGAATAATAAACTTTATGTAATTGGAGGCTGGACCCCTCAGGTTAAGAAATTTCCTGTATACATAATTGGCATGGCTATACTGAGTCTGGCTGCTATGTTAAACATTGTTGTAGTTGTTGAATGCTAAAAGAGTGTGACTTACATTTTGGTAAAATGCTTTCTGTTTTATAGAATATAACTCAAGGTTTTAAAGTGTTAAAGCAATTTAGGAGAATGGATTTTTAAAGTGTGTTTTCATAGACATGACTTGATTCAGTTTTCATGCTGTGCTCTTTATAATCCTCCCATTTTTGCTAATTATGAAAGATATTTGTGCTGAGGGATTATCTGTAGGGAGCATCTAACTAGGAGGAAGAGAAGCTGGATCCTCATCCAGTTCTGTGTGTCTAATAGCTCTGTGACCTGAGGCAAGTAACTCATAGGCCTTTTCCATATTTAAAATTCTTACTCTAAGTGAGACACCAGAATACCGATCTGTGATGGCACAATCGTTTCTATGCAAGCATATTGTGATTGTAACACTTGATGTTTTTATTGGGCATCAGCAGGCAGAGAACCCAGAATGCTGTTTCTATTGAAGCCCAGTGAAGTGATGGCAAACCAAAGTGAAAAGTCAGGGGTGTGTGGCCATGGTGGCCTTCTCCCTCCCCTCCGGATGTCCTCTCCTGGTGCCTTGGAGCACTCTTCTTAGGATCACTTCAGCTGCCTCATGCCCTGGCCAGCCAGACTTTCTAATAAAAATTAATCTCACTAGCTCATTGGTCATCCTCATGGCATAAAGTAAATTTATTTTTGCCTGTATTATTTTTTGTTTCTCCAAGTTTTCTTCATGATAAAACTGATGCTATTTGCATTCATTCCAGAAGCTTGGATTTTGCCATTTATATATAGTATATCATACCTGTTTTAAAAACTTAAACCTCACATGTAACACATTTAATTTTTTCTGCTATATGTCAAAAAGTAGTACAGATTTCATCACAGCTAGCAGGAGAAACCTGACAGATTATTTGTAATTAAACTTTTTTAAAACTATCCATTTACATAGTTAATTTTGCATGCATAAGCCCCAAAAACAACTTAGAGGCTTTTCTTTGCATTTTTTCACTAAAATAGAGATTAAATACTTAAATTAGAAGGAAAATTAAAACCATAAAGTCAACGTTTGTTAATTTATAAAGTTTCTGAACAGATAACATGAACGTTTACCTCATAGAGGAAAGGCTTTGCTACCCGATTGAGTACCTTGTATAACAATTGCAAGATCACACAGGGTTGTGCGTGTGCCATGGTGAGCATAACTCTTGGTATATTTAAAGTGGTTAACTAAAATTAATTGCATAAACTTTCATAAGTATGCCAGTTATTTCTTTGTTGAACACTTGTATCCCAAAAAAATGGCACTCATGAATCCTTAGCTTGAAGTCATATTAAGTTCCACATACATGTATACAAAAAATATTATTTCACCTAACATTTATGAATAGGAAAAGCCACATCTGTGTAAGAAAAGGTTGTTTAATTTGTACCTTCTCTAGTCATTAAAAATATATAAAATAAGTATGTTAAAATAACTGCAAATAATTTATATTAGTCAATAAATCTTGAAAATTGAATTTACACCATTCCTATATAGGCCATAATTATGGTGTAAAAATAATTATGAAGACACTACAATGTTTTGGCAACTTTGTTTCATGTGGATTAGAAAAATATAAAGAAAATGCCTTCTAAATTATTAAAATTAGTTTCTCACAAATATTAAAATCAACTACTATAAAGTTTGGTAAAATAGAATTACACTTTAAATACTATTCAAGAGAGCTTGGTTTTGTTTTTAAGGCTTTGCAGTTGCTTCTTTAAAAAAAAAAAAGCTGTAATGAATGTCTCACTGCTAAGATCACAAATTGTTTGCTATAACCATGCACCTTTGGCCCATTATTTCAGAATATAAATTCCTCTGATATTGACAGTATACTTATAACCCCCGTCATGGGGTTTGGTGTGTTTGTGAGTATGAGTCACTGCAGTTAACCTCTATTTATCTCCTTGGCTGTCTGCTTTGATTAATTGCATTCATGTACTCACAAAGATTGCTAAATGATATGTTATTATATTGGCTGTCATATTTCATACAGATGGATCTTCCTGATGAAGAACCTGATCGATTAAGCAACAAACTGTTGCAGTATGACCCCAGCCAAGATCAATGGAGTGTGCGGGCACCCATGAAGTACTCTAAGTACCGATTCAGTACAGCTGTAGTCAACAGTGAGATTTATGTTTTGGGTAAGAAGAAGCAGATTGCTAACAGTATAACTACTTTTATTTTCCTCAGCAGTTTGCCTCAGCAAAAATGAAACGTTCTCCTTTGCACTTGTATTCCAGTTCAAATTTATATACAACTAGCTGAACTTTGTCTTTTATTTCTTGTTTTCTAGAGTACAGTCAAATAAGATTAAAGGAAGTCCATTGACATATTGAGAGCAAAATTATTTTTATGGCATTTACAAGTGCCTTGGAATGTAAAAACAATAATGATACATCCTTATATATACTACCAAGTAATATACTTTGAAATAGGAATAGGCCTTTGGTCACTTTTAGTCAATGAAATGTGGGCTTTGCACCAACTGTGATGGATCTGTGCCATTAGAAGAGAAAGCCACTATAGGTAAGACTGTGCCACAGATTGTGCCAATCCTCATTTTGCCTAACCCACCAAATTTCTAGAGAGGTGTTATCAAACAATTTTCATTTGAATGCACTTTTTTCTTATGTGTGTCTTGTACTTCTTATATGTATGGTCTTGTACTAACCATAACTAACAAGAATTGGTAAAAGACTTCAGTTCCACTAAGATGGGTAAAAACAATTCCACAACATCCCCTATGTATCCCCTATCCTTCTCCATTCCTTGATTTTTCCTGTTTTGTTAAGTCCTTAGCTCTTTTAAGTACATTCCATCTGCCTAACATTATTCTCTATCACCTTCCCTCACCTCCCTAAGTATGGGAAAGAAACAATGAGGCAGGGAGGTTGACTGGACTGATGAAATGATACCTATGCCAATTCTTTATTTCATCCAATCTGCATTGATGGCTAACAGGAAAAACATGGGGAAGATGATGGATAGCAAAGAAATGGCAAGGAAGAAATATGAAATAGGGAATGGAAGCAAACTAAGCATTTAAATAGAAAGTATTATCATGATGATTTTTTTTTTACTGAAGGGAGGCCATTATCTCTTAGCTGTTTGCACAGCATGAAGCAAAATAATTAATGCACTCAAGCATTAGTAGTTATTTTATGATTTTAATAACAAGAATATTACACAACATAATTTATGACTACCTCAGTTATGAGATTCACTTATAATTAAGTTTTTTCTCTTGATATATATTTCTTACTTTGTTATAACCATATACTATGTCACAGGCCCAGAAGAGACAATCCCTAACCTATGATAGATCACCTAGGATAGATGTATCACTCAAGGGGATGAAGGGCCTGTCTACTAAACATATTACAGTTGGGGGCAGCCAAAAGTGGGATAAAAGTGATATATCCATTGGACCAGAATGAGATTTCCCCCTAAAGTGGAGCCACAACGAGGCTAGATGTGGAATTTAAATGATAATATATTGTTTGATAAACTACATGGGAAAGGCACTCGTGGGAGCTTACACTTCATGGCATGGACACTGTCCATTGAATGAATGAAAGGAGGTAGATTTAAAAGAACTTGTAAGATTTGAGTGGATGAAATCTAGAAAAGAGCATGCTCCAGGAAAAGGTGCAATGGGAGGGGGCAAAAAAGAACAAAGAAGGAGAATGGAATAAGCAGTGGTTTGGAGGTGAGAATGAAAGTGGTGAGAGTAGAGGATAAAAGAAGGTAAATGAGTCCACCAGGGACAGGGAGTTCTGAGAGAAAGAGCTGAGTAGTAAACTGAGAAGCAGATTATAGAGGCCTTTGGATGAAGAATTAAGGAAATACTAGTGAACAGTAAGAAACCACACAGAAGCAACACCATTAAAGAATGTTTTAGAAAAACTTGTGAGATAAGCATATAAAGAACACAGCAAAGAGAAGAAGAAACTGGAAGTGGAGAGACTAATTAGGAAGGTTTTTACAGTAGCTTACACTCTAGTTTTTGAATATTCAGAACTGGAGAACAGATTCATGATCACCCCAGTGAGCTTTACCACCCTGTAAGATTCAGCCCAAAAGGGTCATCTTCCTCAGCATTTGCTACTTAATTCCCAAATATATTTATAAACTTTGAAATAGAATGTAGTTCAGTTGTTTAGGCATTTTTGTAGTAGTCTTAGTTCATATTTAATTGTTCACTGTATATATAATTGGAATTCGGGCAACTATCATATAGAACCCTAAAACCTTATTACTTTCAGTCATTCACATTATCTTAGCAAAAGCCCTGTCTGCTTTTAGGAATCTATATGTACCTCCACTGTGTTTTGGGTCACTGTCAATTAGTATAACAATAAGCCCTCTTTCTAATCCCTATAATGGATTTAATTTCTTACTATGTCCTAGATAGTCTACAGGGTATCTCCCAAAAAGCAGCCACTGAAACCTCCTTCACCAGGAAGGCAGCATGGTAAAGTAGGGAAGACACTAGCTTTGGAGTTGAGTATATTTGGATTGAAATCCTGACATACTACCTATATATTCTTGGTCTGGTAAATCTTTTTATGTTGCTATTGCTAATATTGAAATGGGATTGCCTACCTCTTTGAGATATTAAGATAATATAAGTATAATTCCTACAATGTAAGTGTTCAGATATTGTAAATTCTGTTTATTGAGCCCCTTTGTTACAGAGACTTTGCTAAATTCTTTGCTTAAAGTTTCACTTAATAGTCATAAAAGCAGATAAATTATTAACTGTCTTCTATATAGTTGGCTAGATATCGAGACTCATCCTCTGACTGAGAAAAACCTAAAAACATTGTAAAGCATATCTTTAGAAACCTTTTAAGATCTGACATGCCGGTAAGAATTTAGCAGGCCAAAAGCCAAATGAAAGCAGATTTCCAACTATGAAGAACGGAAAAAGTCAACATTCTATACTTAAAAATAAAATAAAACAAAACCAGGCAAATTTGTCAAAAACTACCATTTTAGATCTCTAGAAATCAATCATAAATAACAAATTGAGAATAGTTTCTTTATTTAAAAACAATACTGAGCTTGAAGTAAGACTTCAGGCAGTCTGTAGCATTCTCTCCTGAGGTGCTGTTCCTCACCCCAGCTCATTCAACATGGTAATACTGCTAGAGTGGGGCTGGCTACAAAAACTAGCAGCTTTTTTTTGCCAAAGGGGGCTGACATGTTTGTGAGTAGAGGGTGGAAAAACCACACTCACAGTGGAAAATAGGAAAAGCCTACAGTTCTCCTAGGCTGAGATCTTAGTCCTGGTTGGTACAACAGCCCACAAAAGAACTGGCCAGAAATTTAACAGGAAGATCCTGGAAATCAGAAAGTCACAGAGAGACTTGAGAAACTCATTCCCTGGAGGCCAAGAAAGCTGCATAAACATGCAGCGCCATAGACAGCCCAAGCTCTCCACACATTCCTAGATGACTAGTAGGTTGAGCACATGTAGAGAGCAGATCCAAGAGGACCAGGCAGAAGGTAAATGTCATAGCAGACTTGGAAACTATTTGAACTTTTAAGGTACTCCCATGCAGATCCACCAGGAGACAGTGGAAGACTTACTGGTGTTTGACTACAACCACCAGTCATTGACAGAGACTAAGCTATGCAGAAATAAGGGTAACTCATAGGCTAAAATATAAAAATGATAATTTCTGAAAACAGAGGGGAAACTGCCGCAAACAGTAGAAGAGGCATGTTCCGTTTAGGTAAATTAGTTAAAAACAACAACAAAAAGGCAGTCAAAAAACGGAAAAGAAAGAAACCCTCAAGGAAAACAATAAAATCAGGATAAAAAGTTGCCACAATATATTATCCATAATGCCCAGTACCAACAAAAAATCACAACACAAGCAAAGGAAAAGAAACAGAAAAGCATAACCCATTTGGGGGTGGGGGTGGTGCAGAAGTATTCAATAAAAGTTGTCTCTGAGTGAGCCTGGATGTTGGATTTAGGAGGCAAAGGCAAAGTCTTCAAAGTGACTATCAAATATATGTTCAAAGAATTAATGAACACCAATTTTAAAGAATTAAAGGAAAATATGACCATGAGTCCACTTTGATATTGATAAAGAATAGAAATTATCTAAAAGAACCAGTGGAAATGTTAAACTTGTGAAGTAAAATAAACCAAATAAAAATGCCCTGAAGGGGCTCAGGAGCACTTTTGATATGTTAGAAGAAAGAATCAATGAACTTGAAATCTATAGAGATTATATAATCTGAAGAAGAGAGAAAAAATTGGAGAAAAATTAGCAGGGCTCAGAGTCAGATGGAATATCAAACCTATGAACAGATGTTTAATGGGAATCCCAAAAGGAAATGAGAGAGAGAAGTAATAGTCAAAAATTTCTGAAATTTGATGGGGAAACATTAATCTACAGAGCAAAGAAGTTTATCAGACCTCATGTAGGATAAATTCCCAGAGATCCTCACCTAAATACATAACAGAAGAACTACTAAAGACAGAAAATTCTTAAAAGCAGCAAGGTAAAACGCCGTATCATGTAGAAGGAAACAAGAGTATACTTAACAGATGAGACTTACCAGAAACAATAGAGGCAACTAGGCAGTGGAATATTATATTCAAAGTGTTACAAGAAAAAAAACTGATCAATCAAGAATTCTGTATCCAGGAAAACTGTGCTTCAAAACTTAAGGTGAAATAGACATCCCAGATGACTAAAGATGGAGATAATATGTGGCTAGCAGACTTACAAGAAATACTAAAAGAACACTAAAATCCTTCAGACAGAACGGAGGTGATGCTAGACAGTAACCTGTGTCCACAGGAAGAAATGAATAGCACAATAAATGGTAAATATATAAGGAAATATAAAGGGCTGCATAGGACGTGTTTTTCTTTTTTCTTCTCTTAATTTATTTAAAAGATATAAAAGAATACAGATGCTCCTCAATTTACAGTGGCATTATGTTCCAATAAAAACCCATCATAGGTTGAAAATATAGAAAGTAAAAAATGTATTTTATACCCTGATAAGCCCATCATGAAGTTGAAATGTCCTAAGTTGAAATGCCCAAACCATCATTAAGTTGGGGACCATCTGTAAAGCAGCAATTGTGATACTATATAGTTGGGTTTTTCACATATGCAGATGTAATATATATGACAATATCAGAGAGTAGAGGAGGAGAAAATGGGGTTATTTTGGAACAAAGTTGCTGTTTGTAATGAAATCAACTCAGTATTAACCTAAAATAGAGGATGATAAAGTAAAATACATGTTAGAATTTTAGAGCAACCACTGAGATTTTAAAAAATAGTTTAAAAGTCAACTAAAGAAGCCAGGCACAGTGGCATGCACCTGTAATCCCAGCTACTTGGAAGGCTGAGGTGGGAGGATCACTTGAGCCCAAGAGTTCAAGACCAGCCTGGGCAATATAGTGAGCCGCCTGCTCAAAGAAAGTTACAAAAGAAAATGATGCACTTAAAAATGTGTTAAATACAAGAGAGGGCAGCAAAGGAGGAACAGAAAAAAAGTTACAAGACATAGAAAATAAGTAGCAAAATGGCAGATGTATAGCCAGTCATTATCAAAAATTACATCAAAAGGGAATGGACCAAACACGCTAATCAAAAGGCAAAGATTTTCATACTGAATAAGAAATTAAAATCAAATATATGCTCTCTATAAGAGACACATTTTGTACTCAAATACACAAATATTTACTATCATTTTATAATAAAGACATAAAATGCAAAAAGTAATATTAAGAGAGGTGCAGTGACTATATCATCAGACAAAATAGAGTAGAACTTTTACTACAGACAAACAGGAAAATTTCATGATAATAAAATTGCCAATAATATCAGGAAAATATATCAATTATAAACGTGTCATACCTAAAAAGAGAGACCTAAAATACATGAAGCAAAACCTGAGATGAGGCTGGGCATGGTGGCTCATGCCTGTAATCTCAGCACTTTGGGAGGCCGAGGTAGGCGGATCACTTGAGGTCAGAAGTTCAACACCAGAGTGGCCAATGTGGTGAAACCCTGTCTCTACTAAAAATACAAAAGTTAGCCGGGTATGGTGGCATATGCCTATAGTCCCAGCCACTTGGGAGGCTGTGGCAGGAGAATCTCTTGAACCCGGGAGACAGAAGTTGCAGTGAGCTGAGATCATGCCACTGCATTCTAGCCTAGGTGACAGAGCAAGACTCCGCTCAGGAGTACAGAAAAAAAAAAAAATGACATGAAAAATAGTCAAACAATCATCAATGGAGATTTATACTACTATCAAGAATTGATAGGATTAGACTGAGTATCAGCAAGGTTTTAGAAGATTTGAACAGCACTATCAACCAACTTTACTTACCTTTACTGGTTTGTGCTGACGGCTGCATAGTTTTGTAAATATACTAAAAATCACTAAATTGTACACACAATGGGTGTATAATGTGGTATCTAAGTTGTCTCAATAAGTAAATGTGCAGGACACCCAAACATTTATCAAGCCTGGAAAATTGTAAGCTTTAGTTTCCCAGGCTTGCAGCTTACCAAAATTACTCAAGGTGGGAAATCTAATTAGAGTTACTATGGACATAAAGCTGGTACTTCAAAGAGCTATAGCCTCTGTGTAACCATATACTAGAAGTAAACCTGCCTTACATCTCTCATCTCAGAGGACTTCAAAGAAACATCTTGGCATTGAGAAAGTTACTGATGAAAGGCTCATACATCCCTGAGAAGTAATAATCATAAATAAGCTCTTGAGTGGAATTGCAACCCAAATTCGCATACCCAAGTGGGAAAAAAGAAAAGAAAAAGCTTGAATCATGAATTTATTTTAAAATGCCTCAGACTGGTAGTGTGGTCAGGTACCTGGAAAAAGCAAATTCACATTCTCTCAAGAAATGCATCTTTATCCTAGACCTCAAAAATCCCCCACAAATAATTTTCCAAGGAAAATAAGCATTCCACAGTTAATGAAACAAGACACCTTGAGCAAGAACTGGTGGAAATAATGGCCAGAAAACAACAACAACAACAACAACAACAACAACAACAACAACAAAACAGTGGAGACCTCACATACTGGAAGTGTCAGACAAATAGTGTGCTTACTCCGTTTAAAGAAATAAAAGAATAAAATTTACAATATCACCAGGAAATAGAAAATGATAGAGAATGATCAAAAATGTTTGGGTAAGAAGTGACTTTATAACTGCAAGGGATGTAAAAATATATAACAATATTAAAACCTCATAGGTATATTTGAGAGCAGATCACACAAAGATAAAGAGAAAATTAGTGAGTAGAAGAAAGTTCTGAAAATTAGTGAATAGAAGAGAGTTCTGAAGAATTTGCCCAGAGTGCATCACAAAGATTTTTTTTAAGTAGAAGAAAAGTTAAAATAGATGGGTAATAGAGTGAGGGGATTAATAATGTTTAACAGAGTTCTACAAGGAGAGGAAAGAGAACAGAACAGAAGCAATATCTGAAGAAAAATGGGTGAGGATTTTCTAAAACCAGTGAAAGGCACTAATGCACACAAACAAGCAAAAATAGTGAATGCCAAGCACAACAAACAAACAAGAAATGTATACTTAGATTTGTAGTGATCATGAAACTGAAAAACACCAATGAAAAGAGAATATCTTAAAAGCAAATTAAGAAAACAGACTGATTACTTTTAAGAAGTGACAGATTGACATCTGACTTATCAACAGAATAATGGAATCCTAAAGACAGTTAAATTGCATGTTTAATGTGCTAGGAGAAAATAAATGCTAAAGTAGAATTCTATACCTAATGAGATGGTCTTTCAAGAATACGGATGAAATAAAGACATTTTCAGATGAGGTAACACTGAAAGCAGACCACCAGCAGACCACCATAAAGGAATTTTAAAGTATGTCTTTAAGCAAAAAATGTGATCCCAGATTGAAGATCTAAAATGCAAGATGAAATGAAGAGCAAAGAATGTGGTAAACATATGGGTAAATGGAAACACTTCACAGTTAAATATTTAAGATAGACTATTTTAATATCAGTTACAAATATTAAATTGACTTATAAAATAATAATTAATATTTTTAAACAGTGATAAAATAGTAAAAGAAATGAAATCAAAATTATAATAACAAGTTGGGACAGGGGTGAGTGGAGTGAAAGTGTCCTAAGATCCCCTGATTATCCAGGAGGAGGACCAAGGAAAGGATTAAATTTGCAACATTTGATGCAGACATTAAGTATGCATGCGAAATTTCTAGGCTTACCACTAAGAGAATACAGAGTATACAAATTTTAAACTAACAAATGGGAAAAATAGAGTTAAAGATCAGTGCAAAAGAATGCAATAAGTAAGAAAGAAGAAGTAGAATAAACAAGACAACTGATAACATGAAATAAAAAGCTAGATATTAGATGAAATGTACCAACAATTATATTAAATGGAAATGCACTAAATGCTTCAGTTAAAAGGCAAAGATTATCCATCTGTTGGAAAGAAAACCAACCGTATTCTGTTTAAAATATGACTTGATTGAAAAATACATTTTAGGTAAATTCTAACTAAAAGAAAGCTGGTATAGCTGTTTATTAATATTAGCAAAAATATACTTTAAAGCAAAATCGATTAATAGAGTTTCTGGCTCTAGGTAAAATGGAGTAAGCACACTTCACGTTCTCTCCCACTGAATACAACTATAAAACATGGACAGAATGCATGTATTTGAAGACTCTGTAAACAGAAGTAGGTACATCAAGAAAGAACACCAGAATTTTAAGTACCACTACCATAGGATTTACTATGTTTTCTCCTCTGATAGCCCCTAGCCTGAAGTCAACGCAACTAGAAACCCGGAAGTGGCCATTGTGCACAGAGAGAGCTCCAAGAAAATCTGTCTGGCTCCGGCATGAGTTACTGAAAAGGGAGGTTATAATTATCAGAATGTAGATATCCCCTCACTTTTTTCTCTCTTTTCTCTGTACTCTTACATCTCAATACCTAGACAATCCCATGGCAATGATGACCAGCAAGAGCCAAAACTCAAAGGGAGAAGAAACTTCCTCTCCATTTAGTCAAGCTGCAGTTCCAAGAGGGTGTGGTCAACCCACGTTGCTTTCGTCTTTTCCTTTCTCTCTTGTCTTGTCACTTGAGCCCAACAAGCTTCCAAATGCAGAAATATATGGCAGAGAGGGGTAACTAGAACCTCAAGTTTCTAGCCAGAGAACCGAAAAAGGGAACATTTGGGAACTGAAAATACCAGGGAGATCTCAGGGAGGGTTTTTCAATGTATTTAGGTGTAATCTATGAGACATATATTTACAAAGCATGAAAGAGGGAGGGTAAATGGAACTATAAGGCGAAGATTCCAACATTCCAGTTATAGTGATAAAATACTGATACTAAGTAGACTATGAAATAAGTACGTATTTTGTAATCCCAAAAGAAATGCTATTCAAAGAGATATAGTAAAAATCACAATAAATGCATTGAGATGGAAGACTGAAAAATGTTTAAATAATTTAAAAGAGATCAGACAAAGTGAAAAAAATACCACAGAGAGACCAAACAAAGCAAGCAATAAATCAGTAGATCTAAATCTAGCCACAAAAATAATTACCTTAAATGCAGATGTTCTAATGACATCAATTAGAAGACAGAAATTGTCAGAATGGATTACAAATAGAATGACCTAAAAATATTCTGTGTACATGAAACCCACTTCAACTATAATGATATAGGTAGTTTAAGAGTAAAAGGCTGGAAAATGTATACCATGCAAACACTGATCAAAAGAAAGCTGGGGTGGCTTTGTGAAGATCAAATAAAGTAGACTTCAGCAGAAAGAAAATTACCAGAGGCATGGAAGGACATTACATAATGATAAAATAATTGATTCACTAAGAAGACATAACAATACTAAATGTGTATGTACCTAACAACAGAACCAAATTACATGCAGTGAAATCTGACAAAACTGAAAGGAGAAATAGACAACTCCACAATTATAATTGAAGATTTAACACTCCTCTCTCAATAATAAATAGAACCAGTAGATAGAAAAACAACAAGTACCTGTATATAGAAAGAGCTCAATAACGCCATTAACCAACTAGATCTAACTGACATTTATTGCCCACTCCACCCAGAAAGAGCACATGGAATGTTCACCAAGATAGACCATATCCTGAGTCATAAAACAAACCTTAACAAAATTTAAGGAAGTAAAATCATACAAAGTATATTCTCTGACCACAGTGGAACATAAGGATAACTGAATAGTCTTCAAATACTTGAAAATTGAGCAACTCATTTCTAAATAATCCATGGGTTAAAGACGAAATCTCAAGAGAAATTAGAAAATATGTTATGCTGAATGAAAATGGAAACACAACATATCAAAGTTCGAAGAGTACTGCTAAAGCAGTGTTTAGAAGGAATTTATGGCATTAAGTGCTTGTATTAGAAAAGAAGAAAGTTCTCACATCTATAGTCTAAGCCCCTGATTTTAAAAACTAGAAAAAGAACAACATAAATCAAGTAGAAGAAAGTAAATAAAGATAGGAGCAGAAAACAGGGAAATTAGAGGCTGAAAAAAAAAGGAAAATCAATGAAACCAATCTGTTTCTTTGAAAAAGCCAATACAGTTGGTAAACACTAGCAAGACTAACCAATAAAAAGAGGAATACAGTACAGATTACCAATATTAGAAATGAAAAGGGATATTACTACAGTCTCTGAAAATATTAAAAGGATAATAGGGCAGTGCTACAAACAACTCTACAGAAATACATTTGACAACTTAGATGAAATGGACCAATTCTTTGAAAACCACAAACTACTAAAAGCCACCTAAGATAAAAGATATAACCCCAAAATGATTAAATACATTGAATTCTTAGTTTAAAACATTTCAAAAAATAAATATCTAGTTCCAAATGGTTTCACTCGTGAATTTAACCAAGCATTTAAAAATAACAGCAATTCTGCAACCTCTTTTAGAACAAAGAGGGAAAACTTCCCATCTCATTTTATAGGTCAGCATTACCTAATACCAAACCAGACAAGACAGTACAGAAAAAGAAAACTACAGATCAATATCACTCTTAAACACAAACATGCAAATCCTTAACAAAATATTAGCAAGTTCAACCCAGCAATATATGTAGAAAACACACCATGCCAAACGTGTTTTTTCCTGAGAATGCAAGATTAGTTCAATATTCAGAAATCAATCAATATGATCTACCATATTATAGTCTGCAGAAGAAAAGCCACATAATCACATCAATTGATGCCTAAAAATCATTTGAAAGAGTATGACATTTGTTCATAATGAAAAATTCTCAGCAAACCAAGAAGATACGAGAATTTCCTCAACCTCTCAATCTGATAAAAGACACCTATGAAAAATCTACAGGTAACATCATTCTAATTTTTTATTATTTTTATTTTTTGAGATGGAGTCTCACTCTGTTGCCTAGGCTGGAGTGCAGTGGTGCGATCTCAGCTCACTGCAACCTCCATCTCCCAGACGGAATCTTTCGGGTTCAAGCAATTCTCCTCCCCAGCCTCCCAAGTAGCTGGGGTTACAGGCACCTGCCATCACGCCCAGCTCATTTTTGTATTATTAGTAGAGACGGGGTTTCACCATGTTGGCCAGGCTGGTCTTGAACTCCTGATCTGAAGTGATCCACCCGCCTCAGCCTCCCAAAGTACTGGAATTACAGGCATGAGCCATCATGCCCGGCCAATATCATTCTTAATGGCAAATTTATATGCTTTCCCCCTAAGTTCATGAAAAAGGCAAGAATACACTTATCACTATTATTCAACATCATAGTGGAAGTCTTAATACAATAAAGAAAGATAAAGTTGTGCAGAAGTGAAGAAATGAACCTGTCCCTATTTCCAAATGACATGATCATCTATGTAGAAAATCTAAAAGGGCCTATCTTTTACATTTCTAGAACTAATAAAGGGGTTTAGTGTAGTCAGCAAATACAAAAGGTCAATCATTTACTTTTAAAAAATGTATGTATTTAAGGCATACAACATATTTTGATATACATAGTCAAAAGATTACTATAATCAAGCTAATTAACATATCTGTCTCCTCACATACCTTTTAAGTGTATGTGCGGTGGGAGTACCTGATATCTACTCTTAGCAAATTTTCAGAATACGATACAGTATTAACTGTAGTCATCATGCTGTACTATGGATCTTTAGACTTATTCATTCTACATATATTCCAGATATAGCTGAGTTCATGCAATATTTTTCTGTGTCTGGCTTATTTCACTTAGTGTAATGTCTAGTTTATCCATGTTGTTACAAATTGCATGCTCTCATTTTTAAAGGCTGAATAATATTCCATTTCTTTATTCAGTCATCCATTAATGAACATTTAGATTGTTTCTATATCTTGACTATTGTGAATGCTGCAATGAAGATGAGCATTCTTGTGTTAGTTATATATATATAACTATATATAACTATATATATAACTACATATAACTATATATACAACTATATATAACTATATATATAACTATATATATATATATATAACTATAGTCCATCTTGTGTTGCTGTAACAGAATACCAGAGACTGGGTAATGTATGAGGAAAAGAGGTTTATTTAGCTCATGGTTCTGCAGACTGGGAAGTTCAAGGACATGACCTTGGCTTCTGGCAAGGGCTTTCTTGCTGCACCATAACATGGCAAAGAAGGTCAAAGAGGAAGCTGACCTGTGTGAAGAGACAGATCCCAGGGGCATGCTGGCTTTATAACAACAGACTCTTGCATTAACTAATTTATTCTCATGAGAACTAATCCAGTCTGCCCAGAGAGAGAACTCACCACTTTGAAAACAGCACGAAGCCATTTATGAAGGATATGTCTCCATGACCCAAACACCTCCCACTTGACCCCACCTTCCAACACTGCCACATTGGGGATCAAATTTCAGCATGACTTTTGGTGGAGACAAGCCACATCCAAACTATAGCAGTCTCTTTGAGGTACTGATTTCATTTCCTTTGTGTGTATACACAGAAGAGGGATTGTTAGGTCACATAGTAGTTCTATTTCTGTTTTTTGAAGAAACTCCATACTTTTTTCCATAATGGCCATACCAATTTCCATTCCCATCAACAGTGTACAAGGGTTCCCTTTTCTCTGTATTGTCAACACTTTTTGATAATAGCCATCCTAACAGGTATGAGGTGATGTCTCACTGTGGTTTGGATTTGCATTTCCCTATTGATTAGTGATGTTGAGTGCTTTTTTCATATACCTATTGGGCATTTGTATATCTTTTTTGATATACAAATAGATTTTGAAAAAAAAATCTATTCAGGTCCCTTGCCCATTTTTTAATTAGGTTATTTGGGTTTTTTTGCTATTGAGTTGTGTGAGTTCCTAATATATTTTGGATATTAACCCTTTTCAGATACATGATTTGCAAATATTTTCTTTCAATATGCAGGTTGTCTTTTCATTTTTTTTTTCTTTTCTATACAGAAGCTTTTTGGTTTGATGTAGTCTGACTTGTTTATTTTTTGCTTTTGTTGCCTAAGGTTTTGGTGTCATATTCAAAAAATTGCCAAGGCCAATGTCAAGCAACTTTTCCCTATGTTTTCTTCTACGAGTTTTACCATTTCAGGTCTTATGTTTAAGTCTTTAATCCATTTTGAGTTGCTTTTTGTGTATAGTGTAAGATAAGGTCCAATTTCATTTTTTGCATGTGGATATTCATTTTTCCTGACATCATTTATTGAAGAGACTGTCCTTTCACCATTGTATATTCTTGGCACCTTGTCAAAAATTAGTTGACTGTATATCCTTGGGTTTATTTCTGGGCTCTCTATTCCATTTTATTGGTTTATGTGTCTGTTTTTATTGCCAGTACCATACTGTTTTGATCACTATAGCTTTGTAATAGAACTTGAAATCCGGAAGTTGGTGACTCTAACTTTGTTCTTTTTTCTCAAGATTACTTCAGCAATTTGGAGTCGTTCATGGTTCCACACAGATTTTAGAATAGTTTTTTTCTATTTCTGTGAAAATTTTCATTGAAATTTTGATGGGGATTGTGTTCAATCTATATATCACTTTGGGTAATATGCACATTTTAACAATATTAATTCTTTAAATCTACAAATATGGGATATGCTTCCATTGATTTGTATCTTATTTTTTTTCATCAGTGTTTTATAAAGTGTTCAGTGCAGAGATTATCCACTTTCTTGGTTAAATTTATTTCTAAGTATTTTATCCTTTTGGGTACTGTTGTAAATGAGATTTCTCTATTTCCTTGTCAGATAAGTGGTTGTTGGTATAAAGAATGCAACTGATTTTTGTGTGTTGATTTTGTATCCTGTAACTTCACTGAATTTATTAGTTCTAACAATTTTTTTGTGGAATCTTTAGGCTTGTCTATATGTAGGATCATGTCATCTGCAAACAGATAATTTTACTTCTTCCTTTCCAGTGTGGGTGGCTTTTACTTCTTTTTCTTGTCTATTTGCTCTTGCTAGTAATTCCAGTACTATGTTGTATAGAAGTGGCAAGGCATCCTTGCATTGTAATAAATCTTAAAGAATAAGCTTTGAGGTTCCCCCCACTGATTATGATGTTAGCTGTGGGATTCTCCTAAATGGCCTTTACTGTACTGGGGAAATGTTCTTCTCTACATTTTATTCTATTTTATTTTATTTTTTGTTATTTATTTTATTTTATTTTTTGAGAGAGGGTCTTGCTCTGTTGCTCAGGCTAGAGTCCGTGGCACAATCATGGCTCACTGTAGCCTCAACCTCCCAGGCTCAGGTGCTCTTCCCACCTCAGCCTCCTAAGTAGCTGGGACCACAGACTCATGCCAACCCACCCAGCTAATTTTGGTATTTGTTTTTGCTGTTGTTGTTGTTTGTAGAGATGGGGTTTCTCCATGTTGCCTAGGCTGGTCTAACACTGGTTGTTTTCTGTGTGTTTTTTTTAAAAATAGTAGCTATCTTTTTTTTTTTTTTTTTTTTTTTTTTTTTTTTTTTTTTGAGACGGAGTCTCGCTCTGTCGCCCAGGCTGGAGTGCAGTGGCATGATCTCGGCTCACTGCAAGCTCCGCCTCCCAGGTTCACGCCATTCTCCTACCTCAGCCTCCCGAGTAGGTGAGACTACAGGCGCCCACCACAATGCCCGGCTAATTTTTTGTATTTTTAGTAGAGACAGGGTTTCACCCTGTTAGCCAGGATGGTCTCGATCTCCTGACCTCATGATCCACCCGCCTCAGCCTCCCAAAGTGCTGGGATTACAGGCATGAGCCACCGCGCCCGGCCAAATAGTAACTATCTTAATGGTGATGTCTCTGTGGTTTTGATTTGCATTTCCATAATGGCTAGTGATGATGAGCATCTTTTCATATGCTTGTTGGTTATTTGTATTTATTTTGAGAAAGGTCTGTTTAAGTCTCTTCCCCAGTTTTCATTTGGGTTATGTTTTTGTTGAGTCTGAACTGGTCTTCTTATTTTCACTTTTTTTTTTTTTTTTTTGAGACAGAGTCTTGCTCTGTCACCCAGGCTAGAGTGCAGTGGTGCAACCTTGGCTTACTACAACCTCCGCTTCCCAGGTTCAAGCGACTTTTCTGCCTTAGCCTCCCGAGTAGCTAAGACTACAGGCATGTGCCACCATGCCTGGATAATTTTTGTATTTTCGGTAGAGATGGGGTTTCACCATGTTGGCCAGGCTGGTCTTGAACTCCTGGACTCAAATGATCTGCCTGTCTTGGCCTCTCAAAGTGCTGGGATTACAGGCGTGAGCCACCGCGCCTGGCCCGTTTATATTATTTTGTATTAGTTGTCCCAGAGATTTCAATATGAAGTCTTGACTTATTACAGTCTACCTTAAGTTAATACTTTTACCTCTTCTCAAACAATATAAGAACCTGACAACAGTTTAATTTCATTCCTTCCACCCGTTGTACTTTTCTTGTTATATAGTTTATATACCTTTATATTGTGGTTGTGGTTCTTTAAACAACCTGTTATGTTTATTCACAAAATTGCCATTTTCAGCATTCTTCACTCCTTCCTAAAGTTACAGGCTTCCAACCTTTCAATAAAGTGTCTTTACCTTTAAGTTTTTTTCTTTAATACTTATGGTAGTGCAAGTCTCCTGGTAATTAATTCTCTTGGCTTTTGATTGTCCGTAAATGTCTTCATTTGTCTTCATTTTCAAGGTATATGTTTTGCTGGTTATAGAATTATATATCGGCAGTATATGTCAGCACTTTAATATGTCAGTCTATTTCATCTGGCTTTCATAGTTTTTATTTAAAAAGCAAATGTCAGTCTCATAGTGGTTCCTTTGAAGGTAATGTGCCCTTTTTTCTCTGACTTCATGTGAGATTTTTCTTTTCACTGTTGTTTTCAGCAATTTGACTATGAACTGCCTAAGTGTGGGTTCTTTGTTTTTATTCTACTTGGGGTTCACTGTGCTTTTGGAATGTATGGATTGATGTTTTCATCTGTTTTGGGGAAATTCTCAGCTTTTGTCTTTTTAAATATTGCTTCTATTTTGTTCTCCCTTCTTTCCTTGTGAGATGCTCATTTTCTGTACACTAGACCTTTATGTGCCATGTGTCTCTTCGGGTCTTACTGGAATTCTTCCATACTTTTTTATTCCCATACTTCAGTTTGAATATTTTTTATTGAACTATCTTCAAGTTCACTTATCCTGTCTTCCGTTGTATTCAGACTGCTGTTAACCCAGCCATTTTCTTCTTCTTTTCAGATACTATATTTTTCATTTCTAGAATGTCCACCTTATTCTCTTTCATAGATTCCACTTATTTTGTGAATTTCTCTACTTTTCTCATCCATTTTTGTCTATCTGTTTTTTTCTGTTTTCTTTATCTTATTATTAATCAGTTATTTCAATATTTGGATAGTTCACAAGTCTGCTTCTGTTATGTTTTTTTCTTTGATCAGCCATATTTCCCTGCCTATGCCCATGTCTGGTGATTTTTTTCTTGTATACTGAGCTATGGAAAAGAACCAGAGGCTCCTGATGATCTCCTCCCTGAGAGGATTCTGCCTTTCCTTGGTAAGTTAGAGCAAGGGACTGATTCCCTCAGTCCAATCAGGGCCTGGGATGGGCCAGGGTAAGTTGCAGCCTTAATAAGTCTCAGTCTTCTGTGCTTCAGCCCTGTTCCTTAGGCATGGGCCAGTCTTCCCCGCCACTCCTGACTTTGGATGGTAAGCTGGAAGGATCTGTCTCCTCTATCCTGGAAGACTGTGGGGATTCTAAACAACTTCAGAGTTGTTTAGCTTAGCTTTTTAGCCTCCCTGAACAACTTCAAAACCTGACAGATCTCTTGAGATGGAGACCACATGTGTGTTTGTGGCAAGCCCCTCACTTAAGCCAGATTTGGTCACCTATATACCATGCAGCTGTGAGAGATTTCTCTCTGACATTAAAAGTATTTGGCCCAGAATCCAGATTGCCCCATTAATCAGTGCTTTTGAGGAGAAAGTTGGCCACATGTTTGAGGTTCCTCTGTGCAGATCCTCTAGCTACCAATCTGTCACAACAGCCCCACACAACTGCCAAAAACCCCCCTGGTCTCTCTTTCCTTCAGCAGGGTTCCTCTGTCTGTGCCAAATCCAGCTCTTAGCCTTGGTCCAGAATCAGCAAATCCCTCAAGGGCAGAAAACAGCCTAGAAGAGGCTCTTCCCTCTCTGGAATGTTAGCTCATCTAGTCCTTACTGTTTCTGCACCTCTCCGATGCCTTTCAACATATGACTTTTCCATATATCCATGATCGTAATGATCACTGCATTATGATCACTGGCC